>NC_000014.9:71429894-71581409 GCF_000001405.40 Homo sapiens
AGAATTCTGCTGTTGAATAATTGCAGGTAAATTACTATAATTACCATTGAGCTTTTATGTAAAAGTAACACCTTGTTTTACAATCTGTGCATTGGGGGTAAAGCTAGGTGTGAGGGTTGTCTTAAGTGCTTCTGAAGTTTGGAAGACTTCTTCAGTTAACTGCTAATCTGTGTTCTAATGGCTGAGGGATGTGTTGTATATTCAGCATCACACCTACCTCATTATGGACACCACAGGCAGAGGGAATACATAATTAAATGAGAGCTACTGCTGGGCAGAAATAGGCACACCACCTCCTCTAGTTTCCCTTAAAGGACTGTTGGTTTCAAAGTAAGAATGGTATTTATTCTTTTCCTTTTTTTTTGCATGGTTGTCTGGTATGATGGGGAATATTTCTTTCTTCCTTTTGATCTTTTAAGAAAATAAAAAACTGTAATACTTATTTTATCAATAAATTATTTTCAGAAGCTTTGGTTTTTGAAGTTATCAGTCTTCATATGCCACTTCTTTCTCCACAATAGTTACGTCTGTTCCATTTTATCTCTACAATCCTCTAGCTGGAGATCTCATCAGTATTCTGAGCCTCACTCTATTCATCTAACAAATGGGGCTAATAAGCCAGGAGCCCAGCAGGGTTTTTGGGAGCATGAGGTTGTCAGTGCAGTGCCTCATAGGAAACAAGCTGCACGGGACCAGAGAAATCACTTAATCCAGCCTTCTCCTATAACAGATGAGAAAACTGAGGCTGAGTGTCACATAATGTGTAGCTTCTCTCCCTTTTGTTTGTGCTTAACTAATATCTTTCTCAGTTGTGGGATCACTTTGCGACTCTGCTTCTTGAGAAACCACAGGGGCAGCTTTTGCACAGGGCATTTTCCTTGCTTGCAATTTCTCTTTCTTTTCACCACCTGTCAAGTCACCTTGCCCTCCCTTTGAAACACATTCAAATTCATTTCCTCAGGGAGGCTTTTCTAGTTCATCCTTAAAGATGGGTATTTCAAATCCTGATCAACTCAGTTTTATCCTTCACTGTGGAAATGTGAAGGACCTATTATTGATATTATTATAAAGGTCCTATATAGATATACATATACACTTATATTTTTTGTTATTTAGGGAAAAAAAACTTCTTGAGAACAAATTTGTTAGCAGCGCAGTGTTATTTGTGTATTTTGAAAGGGACAGTTTCAGTTGATGAGATAATTAAATGCACGATATGCTTTTAGCATGTTAACTCCTACTCACAGATCCTTGTTCTGCTTTTCATACAATCAGCTTTCAAGCTAGTAGTCCAGAGCTAAGGATTATGTTAAATAAGTTAGAAGAAAACCACCCACTGCTAATTCACATCTTTTCATATGGGTGAATATTCTTGCAACTTTCCCCTACTGTGCTTTCTTCCACACTATGAAAAGAGGCAAATAAAGTAAAAATGTCAAGTAGCAGTATACACTCCTAAAGATAACTCACAGAAGTAGTTATATGTGGACTTAACTAGTACATAAAAGATTACATGAGGCTGGGTGTGGTGGCTCTCAGCTGTAATATCAGCACTTGGGAGGCTGAGGCAGGAGAATCGCGTGAGTCCAGGAGTTCGAGACCAGCCTGGGCAACATCGTGAGACCTAGTCTCTACAAAAAAATACAAAAATTAGCTAGGTATGGTGGAGCATGCCTGTACTTCCAGCTACTTGGGAGGCTGAGGTGGGAGGATTGCTTGAGTCTGGGAGGTCAAGGCTGTAGTGAGCTGTGATTGCACCACTGTACTCCAGCCTGGGCAACAGAGGCAAGATAGTGTCTAGAAAATAAATAAATAAATAAAAATAAATCACATGAAAGCCAAGTTGGACTTCATAATCCTTAACATGAATGAACTATAAGGGCCAAGGGAGGGCTCCTCTTGGCCTCTCTGAAGGTTTGATAGAAAATCAACTCAGAAAAGGCAGATTAATTGGAGAAAAGGCATGCAAATTTATTTAATGTGTGTACACAGAAGCTTTCAAAATGAAAACCCAAAGATACAGGGAAATTGTCTATTTTTATGCTTAGGTTCAACAGAGTATAGACAGCCGTGTAGAAATAGGCTTTGACAAAAAGGAGGTGATTAAATGGTAATCAGTTGAGTGGGGAAACTCAGCAGGGCCTGTCTAGGTGGTGCTTCTTGCTTTCTTTTTTTCTTTTTCTTTTTTTTAATTTTTGAGAAAGGATCTTGTCTCTGTAGCCCAGGCTAGAGTACATTGGCGTGATCACAGCTCACTGCAGCCTCAAACTCTTGGGCTCAAGCAATCCACCTGTTTCAGCCTCCGGAGTAGCTGGGACTCTAGACCTGTGCCACCTTGCCTGACTAATTTTTTATTTTTTGTAGAGATGAGGCCTTACTATGTTGCCAGGTTGGTCTTGAACTCCTGGGCTCAAGCAATCCTCCTGCCTCGGCCTCCCAGATTGTTGAGATTACAAGCATAAGCCACTGTGCCTGGCCTGCCTATCTAGATTCTTGTTGGCCTCTCTGAGCATGAATTCCTTCCCTCGGGGTCTGAGGCACAACCTTCTCTAGAATGGGGGCCTAACAACCTACAATCACACAAGGTAGTCAGATAATTTCTTTATGGCCAGTATTTACACAGAAAGGTGGAGGGAAAGTTATAGTAATGTATTTATGTTTTATGACTAGCTCTGAGGAAAGGGATTTCTGGTTTCTATGATCTGCCTTGGGAAAGAGGGATTCCAGTTTCTATGGTCAGCCTCAGCAGAGAGTGGGACTGAGAGACAGGAGGGCAGGAGAAGGTCAGAGAAAAGCGTTTGCTTCTGAGACCTTCATTTTGGGGTATTGTTTTCTGCACCTCAACAGAATGAACAATCAAATGAATGTTTGATTGTACAACATGCACATTTTTATTTAATTTCATAGTACTGAATAAATCCTTTTCACATTCATTTGCGAACTGCTTTTATATGCCCCTGATTTGTAATCAAATACTATTTTGTTTTTGTGGCTGGGCTGCTATGGAAATAGGAAGTAAATGTTACAGGTAGCTCTTCCACTGAACATGCACAAATGCATGTGTTGGTGTGTGTTTGTATGAAAGGATTATAAGATCTTTTGCTTAGAGTGTGAATGGAAAGGGGTATAATAGAGTTTTATATCTGGAAAGAACCTTATTTGTTATCTGTTTATAGGTGAGAATGGATATTTACAGAGATCAGGTGGTTTGACAAGGTTATTCTGCTGTATAGTGTTAGAGCTAAGGCTTAGAACTCTGAGTTTCTGGAGTTAGAGAGCACTCTTAATGCTTTGGGAGAAACTTAGCAGTATTCTTTTTACCCGTTCAGGGAACTCAGAGTCTCTATTTCCTGAATTATCTTTTGGATTTTGGATATTTGCAAGATTAGATTATCAATGGAGTTTGAAGGTAGACTCTTGTCTGGATATTATTATTATTTGAGATAGTGCCTCATTCTCTTTTCCGGACTGGAGTGCAGTAGTGCAATCACAGTTCACCATGGCCTCAACCTCTCGGGCTCAAGCAATCTTCCAACCTCAGCTTCCTGAGTAGCTGGGACTATGGGTGTGCGCCACCACGCCCAACTAATTTTTGTACTTTTTGTAGCGACGGGGCTTCACCATGTTACCTCGGCTGGTCTCAAACTCTTGAGCTCAAGGGATCCTGCCACCTCAGCCTCCCAAAGTGCTGGGATTACAGGCGTAAGCCACTGCACCTAGTGCTTGTCTGGACATTCTTAAGCATGCTGTCCATGAGTTTTTTTTTTCCTGAGAAAAGATCATTGAAGACCAAAACTTTGTCAAAATCGGAGTTTTATCACATTCTTACATTGCAAAATAAGGCACTTTTCATTGAAAAGGATTTTAATACCTTCCATGGAAAACATTCTTGAAAATCCAAGGCAATTTCATAGTTTCACCTTTTCAAATGTTGACTTTAAATGAATTATGCCCAACCTTTATTGTAAGGATTATATCTTATCTATCTTTATATTCTCTACAGCCCCTAGCACAGAGCAAAATGTCTAGAAAGTTGGAAGGTAGTATATTTAAAATGCCTCTCTATTTTCCCACTTAAATCCTTAGTGAGAATTACTTCACTTCTCTTTGTCCTTTGCTTTTCTCTTCCATGTGATTGTGACTAATGATCAAAGGAAACCCTTAGAATTGTTGAGACATTTGGAATACAAAATTTCTCACTAATTAAAAATTGGATCACTGGACCAGAACCTATTAATTTTGGCTTTCATTTGTTGAACTCTTTCTGTGTGGTAAATATTTGTCAGATTCTTTGAGTACAGAGATGAGTTTGACAGCCTCTACTGTTAAGGACCTGAAATCTAGTAGATGAGACAGATGTCCTGTATGTTTAGGTGCAGTAATGGATATATTTTAAAAGTGTTGAAGAAATACATATACTCTTGATGTTTCTTATTAGCAATATGTAGAAGGATATGAGTATCACAGATGAAGTAAGTTTAATCACAAAGTAATTAGATTTTTAAAAAGCTAAATTTTATGTTTTCATATGGATGTTACAAGTCCATGGAATAATATTCCAAGGTAATACAGTGAAGCTAAACTATATAAATTTTATTCAGATTTCACCTGTTTTTCTGTTCCTGTCCTTTTTGTTTTCCAGGATCTAATCCAGAAATGCCACATTTCATTTATACGTATGCTCTTTTGTTTGGTTTTGTTTGAGACAGGGTCTTGCCTTGTTGCCCAGGCTGGAGTGTGGTGGGACAATCATAGCTCACTGTGGCCTTGAACTCCTGGGCTCAAGCGATCCTCCCACCTCAGCCTCCTCAGTAGCTGGGACAACAGGTGTGCACCACCATGCCCAACTAACTTACTATTTTTTTGTAAAGTCAGAGTCTCTCCCTATGTTGTCCAGGCTGGTCTTAAACTCCTGGGTTCAAGTGATCCTCCCACCTTGGCCTCCCAAAGTCCTGGGATTACAGGTATGAGCCACTGTGCCCAGCAATATGTATGCTTCGTAGAAATTTATTTTTACACAAATGGTAGCATACTGTACTATGCTTTCATTGTGTTTTATTCCAGTTTTTACCTAGTCTCTTAATAATGGACTTTAAGTTGTTTCCAATCTTTTGATATTATTAACAGTGCTACAGTGGCTATCCTTGAGCTTGCAAGTATGCAGTTTATATGGAGGCATTTTTGGGTGGAAGAATATATTCGTATCTTTATTGCTAAACTGCCCTGCTTAAACATTGTATACATTTACACTCCTCTCAGCAATGTATGTGTTTTTCTTTTTTCTTTTTTTTTAAATTATACTTTAAGTTCTAGGGTACATGTGCACAACATGCAGGTTTGTTACATATATATACATGCGCCATGTTGGTGTGCTGCACCCATTAATTCATCATTTACATTAGGTATATCTCCTAATGCTATCCCTCCTCCCTTCCCCCACCCCACGACAGGCCCCGGTGTGTGATGTTCCCCTTCCTGTGTCCAAGTGTTCTCATTGTTCAATTCCCACCTATGAGTGAGAACATGCGGTGTTTGGTTTTTTGTCCTTGTGATAGGTTGCTGAGAATGATGGTTTCCAGCTTCATCCATGTCCCTACAAAGGACATGAACTCATCCTTTTTTATGGCTGCATAGTATTCCATGATGTATATGTGCCACATTTTCTTAATCCAGTCTATCATTGATGGACATTTGGGTGGGTTCCAAGTCTTTGCTATTGTGGATAGTGCCGCAATAAACATACGTGTGCATGTGTCTTTATAGCAACATGATTTATAGTCCTTTGGGTATATACCCAGTAATGGGATGGCTGGGTCAAATGGTATTTCTAGTTCTAGATCCTTGAGGAATCGCCATGCTGTCCTCCACAATGGTTGAACTAGTTTACAGTCCCACCAACAGTGAGAAAGTATTCCTATTTCTCCACATCCTCTCCAGCACCTGTTGTTGCCTAACTTTTTAATGGTCACCATTCTAACTGGTGTGAGATGGTATCTCATTGTGGTTTTGATTTGCATTTCTCTGATGGCCAGTGATGATGAGCATTTTTTCATGTGTCTGTTGGCTTCAGCAATGTATGTGTTTTACCTCCCCCTTGCAGGTAGCGTGTGATTTAACAATTCAATTTTGCAAATTTCATAGGTGAAAAAATGGAATTTTATCACTATTTTTCTGTGCATTTCTCTTGTTATAAGTGAGGTTGAACATACTATCGTGTGCTTAAGAACAATTTCCCTTTCTGTGAATTGACTCTGCCAATTTATCTATGGAAATAATGTTTTTATATAAAAAGGAAATTAGCACTTTGTGATAGGGGCTGCTAGTTTTTTCCAGTGGGTTTGTATTTTGTCGTTTATGGTAATTTTTGCTATATATGAATTTATTTTTGGATCATCAGGTTTATTACTATTCTACTTCATGGTTTTGGAATTTTATGTCTTACTTAGGTCTTAGGCTCTTCAAGATTATGAAAAAATATCTTGCTTTTAATACTTTGTGGGGTTTTATGTTTAAGACTTTAAATCAATTTGGGATTTATTTTAATGTGAGTTGGTATCCCATCCTCTTTTCCATGTGGCTGTATAGTTGTGCCAGCACCATTTATTGAACAATTTATCTTTTCCACACTGATGTCACATTTTATCTTATCAAATTCCTGAAGTCTTTTTAGAATGTTTGTTGTATCCATTGATTTGATGGCTTGTTCATGAACCAGTTTTAGACCTTTTAAATTATTATATATTTATAACATATTTTATACTATCTGGCAAATATTAAAGCTGGTCCCCCTTATTACTCTTCTTTTTTATAATTGCCCTCATTGTTCTTGTTTATTTTCCATATAAACTACAGACATACCTTCTGAATTTTTTTTTTTTTTTTTTTTTTGAGACAGAGTCTCACTCTGTCACCCAGGCTGGAGTGCAGTGGCACGATCTCGGCTCACTGCAACCTCTATCGCCCGGGTTCAAGTGATTCTCCTGCCTCAGTCTCTGGAGTAGCTGGGACTACAGGTGCGTGCCACCATGCCTGGCTAATTTTTTGTATTTTTAGTAGAGACGGGGTTTCACCGTCTTAGACAGGGTGGTCTCAATCTCTTGATCTCGTGATCTGCCTGCCTTGGCCTCCCAAAGTGCTGGGATTACAGGCATGAGCTGCTGCACCCGGCCAGCTTTTGAATTTCTAAAAGAATATCCTGATAATCTTATTGGGATTGCGTTAAATTTACTTATTAATTTAAAATTTTTAAAGCATTGATCCTCTAAGAATTTGTTTTGTGTAGCTCAAATATTTCTCATCTGCTTTTAAAAAAAAGTTGATTTTACAAAATTTGCTGGGAGTGGTAGGGGCGGCTCATGCCTGTAATCTTAGCACTTTTGGAGGCCGAGGCAGGAGGATTGCTTGAGCCCAGGAGTTCAAAACCAGCCTGGGCGATAGTGAGACCCTGTCTCTTAGAAACTACATATATATTTTACAAATTTATTTTTCTTTGAGGCAGAGTCTCGTTCTGTCACCCAGGCTGGAGTCCAGTAGCATGATCTCGACTTGTTGCAACCTCTGCCTCTGTGGTTCGAGGTATTTCGGGGTGCCTCAGCCACTTAAGTAGCTAGGATTACAGGTGTGTTTCACTTCACTTAGCAAATTTTTGTATTTTTGGTAGTTTCACCATGTTGGCCAGGCTGGTCTCGAACTCCTAGCCTCAAGTGATCTGCCCGCCTGGACTTCCCAAAGTGCTGGGATTCCAGGCGTAAGACACCGCGCCTGGCTTATTGTACAAGCATTTCATTACTGATACTACAGAGAGCAGTTACTCATCATACTACCTCTATCACAACAAACATTTCTGTTTTCCCTTTACTTTTAGTGATGCTGAATCATATTTTAGGGCCTTTATTATTATATATTCTGTAATTAGCAAGGCATCATGCATACAGTAGGTAAAAGTTTAGAGAGCTTGTCCATACCACTGTGGGATCCTCAATAGGAAGTAATTTGGAAGTATCTATTGAAATTTAAAATATACACAGGCATGTACCGTAACTCTTTAGTTGTTTACTCAGCATCTATCCTAAAGAAAACATGGGCCGTGACTCACATACTGTTTTTTTCAGTACCTTCTGTCACCCTTGTTATCTCCTTACATTTTAGCCATTAAATTCTGTTAAAGAAGATGTGAAACCTTTTAGAAGTGGTTCATAGCCCATGCTGTGCACTTTTAATTTGATTCTCTACCTTACTTTTTAGTTAAACAAAACAAAACAAAACAAAACAAAACTCGTCACCATAGTAATTCTTTAGATGTTAGAATCAGCTAGGTATGCTTTTTTTTCTCTCAAACTTCTTTAATCATCACCCACATTTCACCCCAGTTCCGATAATTCCCTCTTTCCCTGTTGAAAATCACCATAATGAGCCTTGGCCCCCGATTGCACGTCCTTGATGAGTGTGTTGGGGACAGAAGTACTCTCAATCCCCTGTGGCCTTCCTGCTCTTGTTCCCACTCCTGACCAGCCCACATAATGAATCCTGTTCTCAAAGCAAAGATCATCTCCACCCACATCAGCAGCACCTTTTGTTCTTCGTTCCTTTTTCATCCTTATTCCCAGATCTCAAAATATCGCTCCCAATATCTTTGCAGTCTTTACTTTCATTCCAGAGGATTCAACAGTATACATTTATGCGCATGTGGTAAAAGGACCACGGTTGCTTTGGTACCAAACAGACATGAACAAAAATTGCACCAGAAAACAGAAAAATTGTTTGTGCAGAATTCTAGAAAAAAATCCTCTTGCCTGTCTCCACATCAGGTTGAAGGGGAAGAGGAGAGGGCCATCGGGAATCTGGGAATTAAGGAAGTAAGGAGGTAGAATTGGAATGTTTAAGCCACCAAGTAACTATTAGATTGGTGCCTGGGTTTTGGGTCATGCTCTCATGTGCTTCTGCCTGCAGCTTACTTGCCTCCCTCTTGGGCTGGTTGGAAAGCCGTGGGCTGGTTACTATGGGAATTGATGGGTGCTGCTGGCAGTGAGAGAAGGAAAGTACTTGGAATTGATACAGAAATACTAGGAGAGCAGGTTTTTTTTTTGCCCTCTGCTTTCCTGCTTACTGTTTTTTGATTTGATTTAACTAATGTGGTTTTAGCTGAAGAGAGCCTTTCCAAGAGCTCACCTGTGGTACCCTGAGGAGGAGTTGAGCTGTCATCACTCTAACCCAGGAAGACCTCATGGAGAGGAGGGCAACACAAAGGATGGCTAGTTTCTCAGATGAATTTCTGTTTCAGCAACTGGCTTCTCAGGCTTCATTGAACTCAAAATTAAACCCAAGCCTCTTTTTATACTGTTAAGAAATGTGCTGCAGACAGGAGGGGGAAAGTCAGTATTTAATTCTCTCTTCTTCACTACCGTCTTCTTCACTACCACTCCTCTCCCTCTTCTTCACTGCCACCACCCCTTGCAAGGAAAAGGTAGGTGGAGCATTCTGTGTTTGTCATAAATTTAATGATTCTGAAATGTTGGAAATAGAAAACAGATGTTTTAATGGGGTGATACCCACATTGGAAAGCATCAAGGTCAAAATATATTTTATGAGTCAACTTTAATTTGATTAATAACTTAAAACCCTCTACCATAGTATATGCTACTTTATTTTCATAACTACTCATGAGTATGGAATGGAAAACATTAATTTATCTTTCTAAGAAAAGTATTTGGCTGGAGGAGAAAAGAATATTAAAGTGTCATGGACATTATAAAATTTGGTAGCACAGTCTTTTTTCCCCTACATTTTTAGTTTCAGTTCACTGTTTCTGTTGTTTCTAAATATTTTACCACTAATGAAAACCTTATTTAGGTAAAACGTTTTCTTTTGATTTAAAAGATTTTTGTTGAATTCCTTGCCCAGATGTGAGAGAAGTGTCTACATCTATTCAAACTTTAACTTTGGGTCTTAGAGGTGATGAATCACTTGGCAGAACAACCATGAGATGTTGAATAATCTCATGATTTGGTTGACTTATTTTTAGAAGCCACTCCCTATTAACTCATTTAATTCCTGTTATACGGGAAGAGGGACAGGGAAAGGATTGGAAGAAGAGGTCAGTCATATACAGGCCTTGCCCTCCTAAAGCTTCTGAACTTATTTTTTGTTTGTTTTTTGAGACAGAGTCTTACTGTGTTGCCTAAGCTGGAGTGGCGCCATCTCAGCTTACTGCAACCTCTGCCTCCCAGGTTGAAGCAATTTTCATGCCTCAGTCTCCTGAGTAGCTGGGACTACAGGCGTGCATCACCATTCCTGGCTGATTTTTTTCTATTTTAGTAGAGATGGGGTTTCACCATGTTGCCCAGGCTGGTCTTGAACTCCTGAGCTCAGGCAGTCTGCCTGTCTCCACCTCCCAAAGTGCTAGGATTACAGGCATGAGCCACTGCCTAAAGCTTCTAAACTTGTAGCATAAGTAAGATGATTAAAAAAATAAAATATGTCTAGGTACAGTGGCTCATGCTTGTAATCTCAGCATTTTGGGCAGCCGAGGCAGGCCGACTACTTGAGTCTAGGAGTTTGTGACCAGTCTGGGCAACATGGTGTTACCCCGTCTACAAAAAATACAAAAACTAACTGACCATGGGTGGGTGCCTGTAGTCCCAGCTACTCAGGAGGCTGAGCGGGGAGGATAGCTTGAGCCTGGGAGGTCGAGGCTGCAGTGAGCTGAGATCACACCACTGCACTTCAGCTTGGGTGACAGTGAGAACCCATCTCAAAAAAAAAAAAAAAAAAAAAAAAAAGGAAAAGTAAAGAAAAAGAAAAATCTGAAGTGAAGAGTATATTCAGATAAGAAAGAATAGTTCAGTTTCCCTGGAGTGGTGTATATGGGGAGTGGTGTACAGAGAAATGGATTTGAAAATTTAGGTTGGAATTGACTTGTCTAGGACTTGGAGTGCCTAATCAAAGAATTTTTACCCTTTTAATGTAGGTATTGAGAAACCATTGATGGTTTTGGGGTAGGTGAAGGTGCGTGATACCTCTTTTTTCATACTGAACTTGAATTTTGTCTTTAGCTGTATCTTTGCATAAAACTGAAATTGTTTCTAAGTTCTTTAAAAGATATCACTAAGGAAAGTTAAGATTCAGTGTAAAAAAACAAATTTCAGACTTACTATTTGGGAAAGATCATTAAATCTAGTTGTTTGTTTAATGGATTATAATTCTGATGGTATAAATTTTCAGCATCTTGTTACCTTGGTGAGTTCATGGCTTTGAGGTGACTGGAAACATGGTGTTGTCTGTTTGAATAATGGAATTTCTGCAACTTATTTTACATACACAGCCTCTTAAGTCTGCCACTGATGGAGGTTATTTATGGATCTGTTTCTGATCCAAAGTCTTGCAGAGGGAGATTTTCCCTTGGAGCATAGGCTGGCCAAAATATTTAGATGGGATCTGGTGTGGCCTTCCCTAGGCTGGCTTCCATAGTCCCAGAAAAGAGCCAGCTTCCTAGTGGCCTCTGTCCTTGTATTGCTGCCCAGAAGTTCCCAAAGGATCTTGGGTTGAACCTTTAGCCATCTAGATTATTTATAAAAACATAGCCATCATACTGCTATTTGGAAAGGGTTATACTTTTATGCTTCTTTTGAGCTTAAAGTGGTGGCATGGAGGGACATAGTCTCTAAGATTCCTGCATTCAGGTACCATGTCTGTCATGCTCATTATTGCCTCTCCATGGCAGAGTATAGTGCTTGGGACATGTAAGTACTAAATAAATGCTTGTTGAATGAACGTTGGATAAATCTCGGGTAATTGTTCGTATACAGTAACTACTATAGTGGATGGAAAGACTGGCTAAGTTTTTGATTAACACTCCTTTCTCTTAGTTCCGTAGGTTTTAGTTAGTGATAAAGATTAAAACTTTTTTTGATATGTTGCTTTAAAATGTTAGTAACACTTTAAAGTCCTTTTTAGATAATAAAATAACCATGTAGATCAGGAGTAACTTAAAATGTATGGCCAGGTGTGGTGGCTCCTGCCTGTAGTCCCAGCACTTTGGGAGGCCAAGGCAGGCAGATAACCTGAGGTCAGGAGTTCGAGACTAGCCTGGTCAGCAGGGTGAAACCTCGTCTTCACTAAAAATACAAAAAATTAGGTAGGCATGGTGGTGCATACCTGTAGTCCCAGCTACTTAGGAGGCTGAGGCAGGGGAATGGCTTGAACCTGGGAGGCTGGGGTTGCAGTGAGCTGAGATCGCGTCACTGTACTCCAGCCTGGATGACAGAGCAAGACTCTGTCTCAAAAAAAAAAAAAAAAAAAAAAAAAAAGAAGTAACTTAAACTGTAAAATCTTGCGGGCTAATTAAAAAAATTCAGAACATATAGTATTGACATTCTCTTCCTTTTGCATTAGAAAGGGTCAGTATCCTAAATTATTTAATAATGTATGTCTTTTCCAGCCAAGATTTCATTTACTTGATTCAAAGCCCAGAGTATAGATGGAAGCATAAGAAGGTTTGCCAAAGCATGGAAGAGTAATGAGATTTTTCCCCTGGCAACTTGGAATTTATTTTTTTAAATTATAGTAATTAACATGAAAAATGTTATTTTGTTAACATCTAATGAAGAGAAAGTTGAAATAAATGGAGAAATGTCTATAAATTTTTTTCTTTGTGTTGTACTTTTTTTCTTTTGTCTATAAATATTAAGTTTTTTCTGATAGGGCAAAATAGGAAAATAGGAGAAAACAGTGATTGTTTAAAGATTTGATGATTGGCTAAGTGTGGTGGCTCATGCCTGTAATCCCCACACTTTGGGAGGCTGAGGTGGGAGGATTGCGTAAGCTTAGGACTTTGAGACCAGCCTGGGCAACATAGTGAGACCTTGTCTCTATAAAAAAAATAATAAAATAAAAATTAGCCAAGCGTGATGGCATGTGCCTGTGGTCCTAGCCACTTGGGAGGCTGAGATGGGAAGATCACTTGAGCCCAGGAGGTCAAGGCTGCAGTGAGCTATAATTATGCCATTCTACTCCAGCCTGGGTAACAAAACAAGACTGTGTCTCTTAAAACAAACAAACAAAAAGATTTGATAATCATAAAAGAGCCTATGTTTTTGTGACGTCTTACATTTTCTTAAGGATAATGTATGGCATGTTGCACATTGAGATGGTTATTGGAATATCATTTAGAAACCTCTGGACATAATTCATGTTGGAACCAGTTTACAGTATTAGTTAGGGAGGTAAACTTTGTGCTTACAGTGCCTGTGTTCAAAATGTCCTGAGATTCGGTTTTTATTCTGTAAGAAATCTCAGTGTTACTCTGTCTGAAAATATTTAGCCTTTCAGAATTCCATTTTATAATTTTGTAGTCCAGTATCTAGTGTGAAGGAGGTAATTGTTGCATCATACACAAGACTTTAGTGATATTCTAGGTACTTGTCTGTTGCTGATCATATTTTTTATAAAAGTAATTTTTGGGGCTAATCAATACACGAATTCTGGAAACTGGTAATATTTAATCATTGATAAAGAATTTTATCTTTTTGTGCTTGTTTGTATTTATAGTTCCTTGTAATCCTTTTTATGGGCTTTTGAATAAATATAAAATGAAATTGGTTTTCAAATGGAAGCCACTTATCAAGTTGAAGCAGAGATGTTGCCAGTATTTAATGTACTTGAGATGACATGCAATAAGACCTTTGGAAAACCAACAAGTGTGCTTCCAGGAGCCCTTCCCTAATAATCTCTGCCTTGATGGAATTATTTTTCATGATGGTAATGAGCTTGTGTTATGCTAAGCGGGTTAAGCAGAATAATTTCTACTCTGTAGAATTTAGACTTTTAAAACCCAGACTTACAGTATTAGATGGCATACACATATATCTGCAACCATAGTTGCAACAACACTTTTCTGAGAAATAAAGGAAATCACTAGGGACAACTTCTGTTACAGAGGTGCCACACTGTCCCCCACTGGGGACCCACTGTCATCCTCTTGCTGCAAATAACTTGCATAGGAATCCCCCTCTCCACAGGTCTGTGGAGTACATTCCTTGGCACCTGCCTAGGTAGAAGGGAGAAGAGCCTAGAGTCACACATGTTGTATCTTGGACCCATAGGAGATAAATAGTATGTGAAGTCCAGACAATCTTGTTTTTCTTCATTTATTAGTTTCTGTCCAGGCAATCCTATCACAGCCACTAAAGCAAAGCAGAACAAAAACATTTGTGAAGGTTAGATGTCAGCGGTGTTAGGATGTTCCATGTCTTATGTTCAGTTACCCTGAAGTCTAGTTTCTGCATATACCTAGCAAGTACATTAGCCAATTCACGTTCTCGAAAGTAATACCGATTGTTGCCTCTTAGGTGCTCAGAGCGTTTACAAATAGCACGGAGCTACAGCCCTTCCCACCTCTCTGTGAACACAAAGAATGATTTCATTTACTTCAATGAGAACACTATAAAATTCTCAATCAAATTAGCATTCACTCTCAAAAAATAAAAGTATTCCATTCAGTACTTTTTTGGGGGGTTATAGGATAGCGTTTTGAAATCAGAGCAACTTCAGAAGAAGGTAAAAAGTTCCCAGACTCTCCTAATTCATGGTTCTCAGAATAGGGAATGAATATCCACCGAATTTTTCAATGCCTGAGACCATTTCCTATCTACAGTTCCCAGATTGGCATTTCTTTTGCTCATCCTGGGAGCTTGGTTGTGGTTTACTTTTTTGTAAAGACAGTAAGTGTTCTCAGTGTGACTGTGAAAAGCAAGACTGACCTCTTTCCCTTTGGTCCCTGGAGAATGGTGTCATGAGGTGTTTTTGAGCCAGGCCCAGGTAGGTGTCTGCTGCTCCCTCTTATTGGCACTGAGAGAACATAGTTGGACCCTTTAGACTTTCTACCTGCATACTGTTGAGTTGGAGTTTTTGTATTATGTGAAGGAGTCACAAAGGATACTCTCAGCTTTGGAATGTTATAAAGAAGCTGATGAAGTGCTCTTTGCCACTAAAGCCTGTATAGGGAGCTACTAGCTAGTGCTTGTTCTGTGCCTAGAAGAGACAGTTCCTAAACATGGGAAGATACCTCCACCCCAGGACCAGGTGGTTCCAGGTGGTTCTAGGCTGAGCAAAAGCTAACAGATACCACATTTAAGTATAAAATATTTGTGATATGAACTTTAGAAGCATTTTATTTGGAGAAAGAAAACATGTTCATATGAAATAATTATAGTTAGTGGAAGACAACATGCAATCTAATTGCTTCATTGACAGTTTCTACTTATCCTGGCGTAAGAAAAAATCCATTTATTAAGCTGAAAATCTTCTGATGTCATAGAAAGAAGGAAAACTTTGTTCTTTCAAAATTGTGACCTCCTGTATATTTCCTGATATGTAGAGAACTCTCAATTGTCTGAGGCCTTGGTGAGAGAGTAGGATTAGAATCAGAATTCACTTTTTTTGTCTTAAGATGAGAGAAGTTATCAGCTGGAGCTGAAATTTAATCTTGTTTAGCTACACTGATCACTGTTTCTTTCTCGGGAATTTTATTTTAAAATAAAGTCTAAGTTTTTTTTTTTAATTCTTGTATCTAGAAACAAAGTCTGATTTTAGCCTGGCAGAATTTGTCTGTACTAATTTTAGTTTTTAGATGTGCATGGGAAGAGAGACTGGATAATCTCTCTCAAATCGGTTGTACTGGTGGTTCACTTAAGTGCATATGTACTATATGGAGTCATGCATTTGATATTAATATTACACAATTATCTCTCAAATGTAAAACACTCTCAGTGTAAATATTTCCAACATTTGTTGATTGTAACATTTGGATGACAAATATTTCTTACTCGAATTACTACTTTTGCAAAATACATCTTCTCTTTCAGTTATTGTAGTTGTACCAAAGTAAGTAATTTAGATATTAGGTAACTTAACAGAATTGTTAATTGAAACCACATTGTTATGTTTATTTTATTATTTATTTATTTTATTTTTATGGAGACAGAGCCTTGCTCTGTTGCTCAGGTTGGAGTGCAGTGGCCCAGTCATAGCTCACTGTAGCCATGACCTCCTTGGGCTGGAGTGCTCTTTCGTCTCAGCCTCCTGAGTAGCTGGGTCTACAGGCATTTGCCACCATGCCCAACTAATTTTGTTATTTTTGTAGAAGATGGAATCTCACTGTGTTGCCCAGGCTGATCTTGGACTTCTGGGCTAAAGTGATCCTCCCACTTTGGCCTCATAAAGTATTGGGATTACAGGCATGAGACACCATGCCTGGCTCACACTTTTTGTTTATTTTAAAGGAATTGTTTTTTGCCAACTAAGTAAGTAAAAGAAGCTGATTTTAGCTAATTCAGAAAATAGGAATCAAAAAAGAAACCATGCTCATTTGGGTTTCTAATATTTTTTTCTTATATTTCTTTTACTCTTTTTCTATGCATATGTATTTTCTAAAACAAAATTGGAATTCTATTGTATGTATGTTTTGTATTCTGCTTTTTATGTTTAGCATACCTTTTGAATTTTTTATCTTATTTAAATAATTTTTAGAGGCTGGATATGGTGGCTCACACCTGTAATCCCAGCTCTTTGTGAGGCTGAGGCAGGAGGATCGCTTGAGCCCAGGAGTTCCAGGCTGCAGCTGAGTTATGATCATGCCACTGCACTTCAGCTTGGGCGACAGAGCGAGACACTGTCTCTAAAAATATAAAGAAAGAAAGAATTTACTATTTCATCTTGTTATATATTTGTGTAATCACTTGTTACAAATCAGTCTTCAGTGTTTTTTTGTGTGTGTGCATTTTTATATAAATGCTTGATTGTTTTCTTAGGATAATTATCTAGGATAAGAATTATTAGGTCAGAGTGTCTGAATGACTTTTTCTGTTGCAGTCCCAAATTCTCCTTCTGAAACAGTAAGGGGTGAAACTCTTGCCTTTTCTTCATCTCTCCTTGACAAACCATATTTGAAAATACATTTCCAATTGAGTTAAGTAGATCCTGCAAATAAAGAGAGATGGGCTCTGTTTTTTTTTTTGTTTTTTTTTTTTTTTTTTTTTTTGAGACAGGCCCTTGCTTTGTTTCCCAGGCTGGAGTGCAGTGGCATGATCATGGCTCACTGCAACCTTGACCTCCCAGGCTCAAGTGATTCTCCTATCTCGGCCCCCTGAGTAGCTGGGACTACAGGCATGCACCACCATGCTCAGCTAATTACATTTTTTTTTTTTGGTAGAGATAGGGTCTCACTGTGTTGCCCAGGCTGGTCTTGAACTCCTGGGCAAGTGATCCTCCTGCCTTAGCCTCCCAAAGTGTTGGCATTACAGGCATGAGCCACCACGCTTATCCTCTGTTAGCTTTTATGTTAGTATTGTAGTGAAAGGAAAATTTGTAGGATATAATAAAGAACAAAGCTTGAAAATAACTTTATTCAAATGTTCATAGCCTAAATAAGAGGCAGTTTAGATCTACTCAGCTGGATTTGCTGTGGGACCCCTAACAAGCCTATGGTGCTATGGTGTACTTGGGTTTCACAGCTCACTTTAGGGTTGCCTTTTAAAATTGATGGCAGATGCTTCCTAAGAGTTCTGATTATTCTGCCAGTGCAAAATTATGGGGATGCTATTTGGTGTCACTAGGTAGTGGATACTTTACTATGGTTTACTTAATCTGATTTTTTAAAAGCATGTACTGTGGATTTTTTTTTTTTTTTTTTTGAGACAGGGTCTCACTCTGTTGCCCAGGCTGGAGTGCAGTGGCATGATCTCTGCTGACTGCAGCCTCTGTCTTCTGTGCTTAAGTGATTTTTGTGCCTCAGGCTCCTAAGTAGCTGGGACTACAGGTGTGTGCCACCACACCTGGCTAATTTTTTTTGTATTTTTTTAGTAGAGACGGGATTTTACCATGTTGCTCAGGCTGGTCTCGAACTCCTGAGCTCTGGCAATCCGCCTGCCTCTGCCTCCCAAAATGCTAGGATTACAGGTGTGAGCCACCATGCCTGGCCTACTATTGATTTTTTTGTTAGAGTGGTATCCAGAATATTCATTTAATGTGCATAGTTATTTGACTAATGGCTCATTGTGAAAGTTCATGGTATTCCAAGGTTTGTTGAGCCCCTCTGGTCAGTGACAATGCAAGACATTTAGCTTTCTGTTCTGTGGCCAGAGATATTTTCTTGTGGCTTCCAGAACAGTCCTGTGAGGAGGGTGATGGAGCAAGTGGATGTCATCTCCGTTTTGTAGATGAGGAAACTGAAGGAACTTGTCTAATGCCCCTTGGCTATTACATGGCAGCTGCCATTCTTCTTTCTCTTAGTTCTCTTTCCTTTATTTTGCACTTTTTTTTCCTACGCTTCCATCGCTTTCTTGGTTGTCTTTCTGGTAGCAATAACATCATCCACACCAATGATTATAGTAATAACTGACCTTTATTGATCAATCAGTTGCCATGTGCCACAGAGTTTCCTAAGTGCTCTAATGTATTGACCTTCACCTCAGTCCTATGGAGTAGGTATTATCCTCTTTTTAGAGCTGAAGAAACTGAGGCCCAGAGAGGTTAAGCAACTTGCCCAAGGTTTATGGGGCTAGTTGTGTTCCCAGGCATCTAACTCTAGCCACTGGAATTCTATATTCTGAAAACCGTTTGACATTTATAACAAGTATAACATGAATTTTCAAGTTGGAATAAAGAAGACATTTCTGAAATGGGCTGAAATAAGTGGAATTGGGGAAAGCTGAAGATGTTTTGCATTAATGTGTTATGTTTCCCTTGAACTGTAGCCAAGAGACTCTTCATAACAGCCTGCATTTCAAGTCTAATTGTAAGCCGGGTGTTGTACCTGCCTGTAGTCCTAGCAACTCAGGAGGCTGAGGCAGGAGGATTGTTTAAACCCAGGAGTTATAAGCTGTAGTGCTCTATGCCAATTGAGTGTCCCTACTAAGTTCAGCATTTCCTGGGAGTGGGGGACCACCAGATTGCCTAAGGGAGGGGTCAACTGGCCCAGGTTGGAAACTCCTGTGCTGATCAGTAGTGGAATTGTGCCTGTGAATAGCTGCTACACTCCAGCCTGGGCAACATAGCAGGACCCCATCTCTTTAAAAGAATTGTTTTAAAAAATGACAACAGTGTTAATAGAGCTGTTTACTCTCTTAGTTTTCTCATTTATAAAGTTAGGCCTGGAGAATAAAGTCATTACTATGAGAGACAGGTGTTTGCTCTTTGAGTCAGCCTGCTTCTCCAAAGTAGGAGAGCTGGTTGATGGCAGGACTGGGTGACCTTCATGGTGATTAAAGCCAGAGGGACAGCAAAAGGCTGCTGCTTTTTCAGGTTTCCTCTTTGGTTTGCCAAGGCCCTGTTGTAAATTACCTAATTAGTAAGACTACCTTTCAAGGAAGGAATCAGGAAATTTAAACTCTAGTTATGGTTTTAGTTCAGCTTTGTGTGGATGGCTTGATTAGCTGGGAGAATAAACCAGATTGGGCTTTTGTTTTTTTCTCTGAACAAATGAAGTTGTCTGGGGAAGAGTAATTGAGACAATGGGCAGAATTCTACCTGGTGAGTAATTTACTACTGAGCTCCTAGAGAGCTGAATTCACCTTTTCCCTTTTCTTGTCTTTAAGATACAGCTAACATTAGTCACAAGGCTACACATCTGGTGACAGGGATGCCTCTAGGTCCTTATTTTTGTTCAGATAATGGAGCACCTGGAAGTTATGTGATTTTAATAGAAAATCAGGAAATACTGGTATACTTAATTCTATCTTAGGAACGAAGAACGATTTTACTAGCAGAAAATGAACACAGTTATATGTACGTAACATAAAATCACAACTGCTGGCTCAGGGTTGGAGGTGAGGTGGGGGGACTGTCTCAGTTAAGCATGATTTATTAATGTTATTATGAATTCTTTTAGTGCCAGTTTTCTGCTACTGTTCTATTTGTTCTGCTATATGAGCTTTGTTGGTATTTGCTTGTAGGTATACTTTGGCAGATGCCAGAAGGCTAACATTGGGAGAAAGGTCTTAAAATTGAGAAAATTCTCCCACTAATTTGTTCTGTGAATCAGGAAGAAAACACGCATTGACTCATTTTTTTGAACAGGAACTGTCTTTTTCTCAGATCTTTTAGCTTATTTTTTAACCTTAAAAATGATATATGTTCATTTTAACAATGCAAACAGTAAAATAAAACTTAAAAAATAAAAATTATCCCAAATCCTAAACCCAGAGATATATGTAATATTTCTGCTAAATATATCTTTATATAATTTTTCTATTACGATTATTTACATTCTTGATAGTGTGTTTATGTGTTAATATACAGATATACCAGAAATAAATATATGTAACTTTATATTTAGATTTATATTCTGTCATATTTCTATTTGGAGGGCTTACTGATTTTCTCATCACCCTTGTACTGATACAGTAGATTTAATTTACTTCCTAAGGTGTCAGTTTATAGCTCGATAGTGTGTTCTCTAAGACTCTGTACTCATTTATATAAAAGGATTTAAAATCTTTGTAATAAACCTGTTCATTAAACAAAACTTCACAGAAATGAGTCATTCTGGGTAGCCAAACTTTCTATATCATTAAGTGTTCAGCTAGTTAATGAATAAAAAAGACATCTTGACTATTGTTGATGAAAACTTTTCTAGATTACAGACTTTTAATTTATGGCTCTATCTAGTACTGCATTCAACTTCGGAGCCATAAAAAGTTTTATTCTAAAATATTTGAGAAATTATCAGAGAGATGTAAATTAAAGCTGCAATGTTATTTACCTGTTAGAACGGCTGTTAGAATGGCTGTTATTAAAACCTGTTAGAATGGCTGTTATTAAAACCTGTTAGAATGGCTGTTATTAAAAAAAGACAAAAAATATAGCAAGTGTTTTGAGAGGATGGGGGAAAAGGGAACCCTTGCATACTGTTGGTGGGAATGTAAGTTGGAATAGCCATTATGCAAAACAATATGGAGGTTCCTTAAATTATTAAAAATAGAACTATCATGTGATCCAGCAGTTCCGCTGCTGGGTATATATCCAAAGGAATTGAAATCAGTGTTTGAAGAAGTATCAGAATTCCCATGTTTATTGTGGCATTATTCATGATAGCCAAGATATGGAATCAATCTAAGTGTCTAATAACAGATCTGTGGGTAAAGAAAATATGGTATATATACACAATGGAATACTGTATAGCCGTAAAAAAGAAGGAAATGCTTTCATTTACAATAACATGGATGAACCTGGAGGACTTTATGTTAGTGAGATAAGCAGATACAGAAAGACTGCATGATCTCCCCTACATATGCAAAATAAAAAAGTTGAACTCAGAAGTAGATTGTAGAATGTAGCTACCAGGGAGAAGGGGGGATAGTGAGGGTTTTAGGGAGGGGGATATTTGATAAAAAGGGTACAAATTTTTCAGTTAGATAGGAAGAATAAATTAATAGATAAGTTAATAAGTTAGTAGATAAGAAATATATTGCAGGCCAGGCACCTGCTTGTAATTCCAGCACTTTGGGAGGCTGAGGCAGGAGGACTACTTGAGCCCTGGGGTTCAAAACCAGCCTGGGCCATATAGTGAGACCTTGTCTCTACAAAAAAATTTTAAAATTACCCAGGCATAGTGGTGCATGCCTGTAGTCCCAGCTACTCAGGGGACTGAAGTGGGAGGATCACTTGAGCCCAGGAGGTGGAGGCTGCAGTGAGCTGTGATTGTACCATTGCACTCCAACCTGGGTAACAGCGAGACCTTGTCTCAAAAAAAAAAAAAAAAAAAAGAAAAAATTCTCTTGTAAAACATGATGACTAAAGTTAATGACTGTGTACTACATTCTTGCTAAGAGAGTAGATTTTAAATGTTCTCACCACAAAAAAATGAAAAGTATGTCAGGTAACATATATGTTAATTAGCTCGATTTAGCCATTTCCTGGTGTGTACGCAATTCAAAACAACATGTATATGATAAACACATACAATTTTTACTTGTTAATTAAAATATTTGAGAGAAGGGAAAATGGTCATTATATAAGACAAAAATGCATGGAATTATATACATCAAAAACAATTTCGTGAACAAAACACCACTCTGGTCTTCCAAATATGTATATTTTTGCTTATATAAAATATATAAATACCTTGACTTACTTGCTTATAAGTTAAAAAGCTTAACGTGCATATAGAAAAGCAGATAGATCCTACGTTTTCACCTTTGATAAGTTTTCACAAACTTAACACAAGTGTATAACCAGCATCACAATTAAAAATCAGGATACCACCACCATTACAGGAAACCCCCCCCTCATGTTCTCTCCCATTTCAGTACCAACCACCCCCTATACTACCAAAGGTAACCACTGTTCTGACTTATGTCACCATAGTTTTGTTTTGCCTGCTTTTGAACTTTATAAAAATGAAATAATATAATATGTACTCTTTGGTTGTACTCAATGTAATGTTTGAGAAATGTATACACATTTTCGTATATAGGAAGGATAATTTTTTAGTGTAGTATTCTATAATGTGAATATACTACACTTTATTTACTACTGAACATCTGTTTTTGTTTTGCAGATTTTGACCATTTTACTATTAATACTGTTATAGTATTTTTATACTTGTTTTTGCTTTTTTGGGCATATGTGCACATTTCTGTTAGGCATCTATACCTGGGAGTGGGATTACCAAGCTATAGGATATGTATTAATATTTGTTCAGATTTAGTAGACACTGCAAAGCAAAGCCTTCTACTAAAGTAGTTTACTGATTCACTCTCACACACAGTGTGTGAGAGTTCCAGTGGCTCCACATCTTCATCAGCACATTGTATTTTTAGTCTTGATTTTAGCCATTCTGGTGGGTATGAAGTGGTATTTGTTGTTGTGCAGATTGCATCTCCCTGATGACTAAAGAGGACTAGTGCTTTGACCTCAAGAACTTCCCCTCTGGGGAGATCTTATGTTATTTAAATCTTAGGTTTTTAAACTGATCTCTGCTAGTTTGACTTTATTTCGATATTCACAGAAACTATTATTTTCCTCTGGTGTTCAGGATATACTGTACACCAAGTTTTTCAAATCTCTAGACCCTTCTGTGTCATATTTTATGGTAATCACTAATAGATACAACATCCAAATTTTGCTGCTTGATGATCCAATTTAATGACTTTCTGTTCCATGTTTAGTGAATTTTTGAAATTGTGAAATATTTAAAGTTATCTATCTGTTTCACAATGTAGCTAATTAAAATGTTTGTTAAATAATTCAACTTAAGAAATCTAAAAGGAAATGCTTTCTGGCTTTAGTGCAGTAATTGTCTTCAGAACAATATGCCAATAATGACTCATCCCTTCTTTATTCATAGTAACTTTGGTTTTAGCTTTTTTGGGGTTTCTTTTGTTTTGTTTTTGGAGAAAGGACCTTGCTCTGCTGGCCAGGCTGTAGTGCAGTGGCACGATCTCAGCTCACTGCAGCCTTGACCTCCCGGGCTCGAGCAGTCCTCCCACCTCAGCCTCCTAAATAGCTAGGACTGCAGGTGTGTGCCACCATACCTGGCTAATTTTTTAAATTTTTAGTAGAGACAGGTTCTCACTGTGCTGCCCAGGCTGCATCGTAACTTTGAAAAGAATCTCACTCTAGGATAGAAAATTACAAGTAAATTTAATGCAAGTAGAAAGTGCATTTGAGACTTAAGTCTGAGTCTAATAGCTGTATGAAATATTTGTATAAGAATCATAATACTGGAGTATAGTTCTTAGTTTTTAATACTAAATTTTCTTTGATCATGAAATGAAAGTAAGAGATCCTTGAAGTATTGCATTAGAAATCTTAGATGGAGGAGGCCGGGTGCAGTGGCTCACGCCTGTAATCCCAACACTTTGGGAGGCCGAGGCAAGTGGATCACCTGAGGTCGGGAGTTCAAGACCAGCTTAGCTAACATGGTGCAACCCTATCTCTACTAAAAATACTAAAATTAGCTGGGCATGGTGGCTCACTCGTGTAATCCCATCTACTCGGTAGGCTGAGGCAGGAGAATTGCTTGAACCTGGGAGGCAAAAGTTGCAGTGAACTGAGATCGTGCGACTGCACTCCCCTCCAGCCTGGGTGACAGGGCGAGATTGTTTCAAAAAAAAAAAAAAAAAAAAAAAAAAAAAGGAAAAAAGAAATCCTAGAAAGAGAGTTCATAGATCATCACTTGGCCATCTTAAAATAACATGGAGACTGAACAAACCCTGTGTTCCCAGGTCTGGTGCCAGGCATTGTCATCCATGTTTTCTTACTGTATTCTTAACAGTACTGTGATATAGGCATGTTATACCCATTGTATGTACAAGGCAATTGAGGCTGGAAAAGGTTAAAGGAGGTCACATAATTAGAAAGGGTAGATGGAAATGTCCTAACTCTGATCTTATGATTTTACTTGCGGAAAAACTATAGTATTTAGAACCTTTGGTTTAAATTGAACAACTCTCTGTCAACTCTTTAGCTATCCTGGGCGCCAGTAATATATAAAAGTGGATTGGCAGTTATTGAATCTCAGATAAAGGACTATTAGGGAATTGTATGGAGAGTTGTTCTTGATTTATACTTTCTTATATTAATATTAAGTAAACATTTTAATTAAAGCATCTAATTAAAGGTACAAATATCATTAAATGTAATACCATAGCAGCAAAGAGGTGATTTTTTTAATTGAAGGCTTCTGCTTTCTGGAGAAGGTGGTCTTGGAACTATCTTCGAAGAATGGAATAGACACTTAGAAAATGGACACTTAGAAATTGGTGCCTGATTGGGTGCAAAGGCAGTATAGAGTTTATTTTCTTACAACTGAACAAATATGCTGATTAAACAAATGAGTACCATAAATAAAAGGAGAAACAACAAAAAGCTGTTTATTATAAAACCATAGCTTTCAAGATGAAGATCAGAT
This sequence comes from Homo sapiens, assembly GCF_000001405.40. Taxonomy (NCBI): domain Eukaryota; kingdom Metazoa; phylum Chordata; class Mammalia; order Primates; family Hominidae; genus Homo; species Homo sapiens. The sequence goes on from NC_000014.9 coordinate 71,454,802, forward strand.
AAAGCACACATGAGATGGGCCCTATAAGCTCTGGCTCTGTCTACCCGGTGTCACTGCGGTTACTCCCTTTATCTGCCCTTTTACTGTGGAGGTTCAGAATCATGTGCTGAGTGAGACGGGACACCTGATGTCACAGGTTCTTTACACTTTCACGGATACTGTATTCCTGCAGGGATTACCCTTATTGCCTTATTAATATTTGACAGGGGCTGACACAGAGCCAGAACCTGCTAGATCCTTCATGAGTGAATGTACAAGTGAAGATTTGAATGAGATAGAATGCCATGCCTTTTTACTAAGTTCATATTTTTATCATGTACAGATACTTGTTTGAATAGTTGCATTCTGTCTCAGAAAATCATTATAGTGTTAACTGTAACAAGTTGGTTTACAGGTTAGAGGAAATGAGTGTGCAGTTTTGTAACTTTACTTGCAAATTGTTTAGTTTTATCTTTAGCTGTGATTGAATGTATGCCATTGTTTGATCAAGTGAATGGCGAAGTGATTGATTCCAAATGATTGTTTTTCTTGCTTTTTTTCATCCCTTTTCTTAAATTATTTGGACTAGGAGAAAGGAGGAAGAATGGCTTATTCCCGCTGTCTGTATTGCTTGTTTATAGTTTAGAATTCTTTGGAGTTCCATATGATCACGAGACAAAATTCCTAAACTAGAAATTGGTGTGATTTAATTGGTGTGATTTTTATGATTAAATTTGATTATCTTAGGTTATGGTCTTTTGGTAATTCCGAATGCTTATTGAAAGAAGTTTAAGTTAGCAATAATAATAATGTTTACCATTATTATTTAATTTAATTTATATGTGGGACTTTGCTAAAGACTTTGGCATGTAGTATTTAATCTTTAAAATCATCCTGTGAGATGTCAGTGGATGTTCTCATGTTACTAATAAGGGTAAATTGGTTTCTACAAGGTCACATAGTTCGTAAGGGCCTGAGCTGAGATTTGAACCTACATATGTTTGCTTTCAATGCCTGAGTCATTATGTTAAATTGTTCCTTCTTGTTTTTTCCAAGTATTTATGATGCCTTTCCCTTCACATATTACGGTAGCAGGATGTATTCTTACTTATATATTACTTGTTTAATATACTTTTGGTGGTTATTGTTGGTTGGTTTGACATCTTAACTAGTTTGGACAAAACTCTTTCATTTACTATTGTGTTTATGGTATTTAGAAATTGTGTGCGATTTTGTTTTTACAGCTAAAGGGAAAAACGTAAATTATTTTATTTCACATGCAATATCATTTTTTAATTGGCAATTTGGTCTAAACAGTTTTTAACAATCCTCTGAGACAGAACCCTGGTGTTGAGATATTTCTTTTACTAATATGTGTAAAACAACATCTCAAGTTGTTGTGTGGTATAACTGCAAGAGCATAGTACATGGATAGCACAAAAGCAGCCACGGTAAAAAAGCAAAGAGACGAGCAAATCAGATGAGAGAGAACAGACACGCATTAACTGATCCATCATTCATGATATGCTTAGATTTGTGTTTGAAAAGCTTGCAATAAATGTAAGAAATTCTTATTGATACAAGTATTCAACATCTTATATTAAAAATACAACCCTATCAATTTTATGTACTAAAATATTACAGTGGATAACTGTTTATTATACATTGGTCTGCCAGCACTTGTGTGGTAGTGTGGTATGTTTTATGAATCCAGCTGAATAGCATGTCTAGGCAGAACCAAATGTACAATTATATAAAATAGCCCAGGAATTACAGCCAAAAAACATTAATAATTATTGGCAACTCTATATTACTTTGTTTGCATCCTTATAGTGTTGGCTTATTATTACAGAAGAGTTAAAGTTTATTTTCAGACAAAACAGAATGTCTAAAGTGTGTTATATATTAATCCAGTTCTAAAAAGCTTTTACATTTTTAAGTTTTTAATTTTTCAGTCTTTACTCACTCATTTTTCCTGGTGGACGAATCCAGTTTTTAAAATAAAATATATTTTTCTTCCAAACAACCTTTTGTGTTTCTTGATCTGGAGAATTGAATAAATCTAAATAAGAATTATTGCTTCCAGCATTAAGTTTGTGCAGAAGTTTTTTGAAACCAACTTAATAGGACATCAGTATTGCCATCTGAAATCCAAATTTCTCTTATTTATTTATTTTTAAAATTGAGGACAAGGCCTTGCTACATTGCTCAGGCTGGTCTCAAACACCTAGCCTCAAGCAATCCTACTGCCTTGGCCTCCCAAAGTGCTGGGATTACAGTAAATATCTTTTAAATGGAGACTTACTGACACTGTGTAGAATATATTTTTTAATACTTCAAACTGCCCTAGCATCCATCTGACTTTTATTTCCTGCCTTCTTCAAATAGTCTTCTGCTCTCCTTGTCTAGCTAGCAACCCTCCATTCTTCCATTCCTTGTAAAAGAGAAATTGTCAGCATCTGCTTTTCTGTTGACCTATTCTCTCCAAACAGGCTATATGGTAAACAAACTGCAATGAACATTTTTTTTTTTTTTTTGAGATGGAGTCTCGCTCTTTTGCCCAGGCTGGAGTGCAGTGGCATGATATCGGCTCACTGCAACCTCCGCCTCCCGGTTCAAACGGTTCTTCTGCCTCAGCTTCCTGAGTAGCTGTGGCTACAGGCACATGTCACCACTCCTAGCTAATTTTTGTATTTTCAGTAGAGATGGGGTTTCACTATATTGGCCAAGCTGGTCTTGAACTCCTGACCTTGTGATCTGCCTGCCTTGGCCTCCCAAAGTGCTGGGATTGCAGGCGTGAGTTACCATGCCCAGCCGACATTTTTTTTTTTAGACGGAATTTCGCTTTTATCATGCACAGCTAGAGTGCAGTGGTGTGATCTCAGCTCACTGCAACCTCCGCCTCCCAGGTTCAATCAATTCTCCTGCCTTAGCCTCCTAAGTAGCTGGGATTACAGGTGCATGCCACCACACCCAACTAATTTTTTGTATTTTTAGTAGAGATGGGGGTTTCACCATGTTGCTCAGGCTGGTCTCGAACTCCTGACCTCAGGTGGTCTGCCTGCCTCAGCCTCCCAAAGTGCTGGGATTACAGGTGTGAGCCACCATGCCCGGCCTGCAATGAACATTAAGTTGTAGGAGTTCCTTATATGTCCTAGATTCCAGTTCTTTTTTTGGATTTACATTTTGTAACCTTTTCCCCCCAGTTTGTGGCTTGCCTATTGAGTCTTTTTTTAAACAATATCATTTGAAGATACAAAGTTTTAAATATGATGAGATCTAATTGATTTTTTTTTCTTTTCTGGTTATTACTTTTTGTGTCTTAGGAAGTGTTACCTACCCCTTAGTCCTGAAAACATTTTTCTTTGTTTTCTTTTGCAAGCTTCATGGTTTTGGCCTTGAGTTCAAGTGTCTGATCCAATTTGAATTAATTTTTTTGCTTACTTTATTATTGACAGCTCTTTAAGAGACATATTACTTCAATTTTATAAATGAGGATTTTGGCACTCTGAGATTTTGGCACTCTAGACATTGTATGTAATAGTATATTTGATTTAGAATTTTAGAACCTTTTGAGCAGTGATTGGGGTGAAGATTATACATTAGGTCATATTCGTATGTAACATTTTTGTCAAAACCTTTTTTGAGACTTGCTTCCATCAGAGTAACAAAAATGTTGTTATTAACAAATGAATGTTCTTTTAGTAACAGGATTCATCCCCATTATGAAACCAGTGATATTAAGTGTAGAACAAGGCTGCGACTTTGGTGTGCATATATTTTATCAGGTAGAGATATTATATAATAAGAAGTGGAAGTAAAATGAATTGATTCAACTATTTAACCTGGCCTAATTCATTGTTTTTACTAGATGTATTATGGGGCTTTACATATGCTATCAGCTTTTACTTCTGCCAGAGTCACCCCTTATTCTTAGTATTTGACATTTCTCCCTTGACATTGCAGTAACCATTTCACTACCGGTGTCTGAGGCTAAGGAGAATTCTCTGCCAGGCTTGGTGTCTCACGACTGTAATCCTGTCACTTTGGGAGGCCAAGGTTTGGGGATTACCTGAGCTCAGGAGTTAGAGACCAACCTGGCCTCTAACTCCTGAAACCCCGTCTGTACTAAAAATACAAAAATTAGCTGGGCATGGTGGTGTGCTCCTGTAATCCCAGTTACTTGGAGGCTGAGGCAGGAGAATCGCTTGAACCTGGGAGGCAGAGTTTGCAGTGAGCCAAGATCATGTCACTGCATTCCAGCCTGGGCAACAGAGAGAGGCTCTGTCTGAAAAAAAAAAAAAAAATTCTCAGCAATAGATGTTTTTTGTTGATACACATTTTAGGAAGGTGTTTGGTATGTGCTAGCTGTGAGCATTATATTTCTCACAAGATCCCCATTTTAAAGGGGAGAGTAAGAGAGGTTTATAGTCACACACTTGCAGGTGATATGTGGCGGGAACATACTACAGATCGCTAGTAAATTTTCTGAATGGTGGCTTCTTTTAAGTCCTTACAATTATGTGAGTTGAAATAGGTAACACGACGGTATAGTGGTAATCCAGTCAGTTTTGCAATACTTCAGGGGAAAAGGATGGGGCTTGTATTAGGGTTCTCTAGAGGGACAGAACTAATAGAAGATATGTAATATTTAGGATATCTATCTATCTATCCATCCAGAGAGAGAGAGAGAGAGAGAGGAGTTTATTAAGTATTAACTTACATGATCACAAGGTCCCACAATAGTCTGTCTGCAAGCTTGAAGGAGCAAGGAGAGCCAGTCCGAGTCTCAAAACTGAAGAACTTGGAGTCTGATGTTCAAGGGCAGGAAGCGTCCAGCATGGGAAAGAGATGTAGGCTGGGAGGCTAGGCCAGTCTCGCCTTTTCGTGTTTTTCTGCCTGCTTATATTCACTGACAGCCGATTAGATTGTGCCCACCAGATTAAGGGTGGGTCTGCCTTTCCCAGCCCATTGACTCAAATGTTAATCTTTTTTGGCAGCACCCTTACAGATATACACAGCATGACTACTTCACACTCTTCAATCTATTCGAGTTGACCCTTAGTATTAACCATTACAAGTCCGCCCCTTGTCACCTTGGACCCATACATATCTCCTGAGATCATACATAATCTTCAAATAAAGACAATAATAAGGTCATAATTACGCCTAACATAATACAACTGTCTTTTGTACAACTGGAAATGTACCAATCCCCAACCCAAATACCATTACATAAAGTTAATAATACATAAATGCTGATATGAAGTCAATAAATCTTATGTCTCATGATAAAGGAAAAGGAAATAAAGATATTTTCTTAGTAGAAGTGTATACATGCACAAACATGTTTTTAACAAAAGAAGGAGGAAATACTCATGACAATTACAGTCCTTGTTTCTATAGCTGACCACGTGGTCGTAGCTGGTATTGATGACTACCTTTTTCTACTACCCATTCTGTATTCCCTTTGCATTCAGCAAGCATGTCAGCGGGTCGTGGTTTTCTTTCCTGGTGGAGTGACCCAAATCTTCATTCCTGAGGAGTCTGGACCATTTGTAGTCCTGTCTGGATTGGGCGTTGTAGTTTCCCATTGATCTTAATCACAGGGCATAGTAATACTGAGAGACGCCCTAATGGATCTCCTGTATTCCTTGCATACTCTTCTTTACCTTTGTTGTGGAGTAGTAGACTGATTTCATCTTGATAGTCTGAGTCAATCACCCCTGCCAACACTGTAACTCCCTTCTTAGTCTTGACTTAAAGGTAGGAGGAGCCCAAAGTGTCCAGGTGGCAATCTCAACTTCCAGTTTAATGGAATCATCGTTGTGTCTCCTGGTGGCAGCGTTCCTCCCTCTGGCACTAAGACCCCTGTGCCAGCAGAACATAATGTTGCGGGAACAGGAAGCAAAGCTTTTGCTAGTGGATCACTAGGGGTGATGGTGAGTGGTACCACTTCCACTTCCACCCCTTGATTCCTGGACCTGTGAATCCTGACTGTGGGAGAAACAGTACCATATATTATTGGACACTGATTCAGAGCATACATGGCCTTCTGGAGAACTTTGCCCCACCTCTACAAAGTATTGTCAGCTAGTTGGCATTGTAATTGTGACTTCAAAAGGCCATTCCACCGTTCTATCAATCCAGCTGCTTCAGGATTGGGAACATGGTAAGACCAGTGAATTCCATGAGCATGAGCCCACTGTCGCACTTTGTTAGCTGTAAAGTTAGTGCCTTGGTCAGAGGCAATGGTGTGTGGAATACCATGTTGGTGGATAAGGCATTCCATGAGTCTACAGATAGTAGTCTTGGCAGAAGCATTGCATGCAGGATAGGCAAACCCATATCTGGAGTAAGTGTCTATTCCAGTGAGGATGAACCTCTGCCCTTTCCGTGATGGAAGAGGTCCAGTATAATCAACCTGCCACTAGGTAGCTGGCTGATCACCCCGAGGAATGGTGCCATATCAAGGACTCAGTGTTGGTCTCTGCAGCTGGCAAATTGGGCACTCAGAAGTGGCCGTAGCCAGGACAGCCTTGGTGAGTGGAAGTCCATGTTGTTGAGCTCATATGTAACCTCCATCTCTGCCACTATGATCATTTTGTTCATGGGCCCATTGGGTGATGACGGGTGGCTGGGGAAAGAGGCTGAGTAGTATCCACAGAATGGGTCATTCCATTCACTTGATTATTAAAATCCTCCTCTGCTGAGGTCACCTTTTGGTGAGCACTCACATGGGATACAAATAACTTCACAGTTTTTGACCACTCAGAGGGGTCCATCCACATCTTCCCCACATTTCTTTGTCACCAATTTTCCAATCATCCTTCATCCAAGTCCCTGACCATCCAGCCAAACTCTTGGCTACAGCCTATGAATCAGTATATAATTGCACATCTGGCCATTTCTCCTTCCATGCAAAGTGCACAACCAGGTGCACTGCTTGAAGTTCTGCCCACTGGGAAGATTTCATTTCACCTCTGTCCTTCAGAGATGTCCTAGAAAAGGGCTGTAGTGCTGCAGCTGTCCACTTTTGGGTGGTGCCTGCATATCGTGCAGAACCATCTGTGAACAGGCCCTAGTCTTCTCTTCCTCTGTCAACTGATGATAGGGAACTCCCCATGAGGCCGTGGGTGCAGGCTAGGGGAGAGAAGGCAGGGTGGCAGGAGTGGAGACCATGGGCACTTGAGCCACTTCCTCATGTAACTTACTTGTGCCTTCAGGATGTGCTCGAGCGCAATCACGTATATACCACTTCCATTTGATGATAGAATGCTGCTGTGCATGACCCACTTTATAGCTAGATTGGTTAGAAGGCACCCAATTCATGATAGGCAGTTCAGGTTGCATGGTGACTTGATGACCCATAGTCAAATGTTCAGTTTCCAGCAAAGCCCAGTAACAGACAAAGAGCTGTCTCTCAAAAGGAGAGTAGTTACCTGCAGAAGGCGGCAGAGCCTTGCTCCAAAATCCTAGAGGCCTCCTCTGTGATTCACCTATGGGGGCCTGCTGAGGGCTCCAAACAGCATCCACTTCAAGCACTAGTGGATCTGCTGGGTCATATGGCCCAAGTGGCAGAGCAGCTTGCACAGCAGCCTGGACCTGTTGCAGAGCCTTCTCCTGTTCTGGACCCCACTCAAAACTGGCAGCCTTTCGGGTCACTTGATAAATGGGCCAGAGTAACACACCCACATGAGGAATGTGTTGCCTCCGAAATCCAAATAGGTCCACTAGGCGTTGTGCCTCTTTCTTGGTTGTAGGAGGAGCCAAATGCAGCAACTTTTCCTTCACCTTAGAAGGAATATCTTGACAGGCCCCATACCACTGGATCCCTAGAAATTTTACTGAAGTGGAAGGTCCCTGAATTTTAGTTGGATTTATTTCCCATCCTCTGGCATGCAAATATCTCCCCAATAAGTCCAGTGTCTTGCTCACTAGATCCACTCAGCATAATGTCATCAACGTAATGGACCAGTGTGATATCTTGTGGAAATGAAAAGTGATCAAGGTCTCTCCGAATAAATTATGATACAAAGCTGGAGAGTTGATATACCTCTGAGGCAGGACAGTAAATGTATATTGCTGGCCTTGCCAGCTGAAGGCAAATTGCTTCAGATGGGCCATATGGACAGGAATGGAGAAAAAGGCATTTGCCACGTCTATGGCTGCATACCAGGTACCAGGAGATATGTTAATTTGCTCAAGCAGTGAAACCACATCTGATACAGCAGCTGCAATTGGAGTCACCAGTTGGTTAAGCTTACAGTAATCCACTGTCATTCACCAAGATCTATGTCTTCTGCGCAGGCCAAATGGGATCACCATCCCTGCGTCTTTCAAGTCCTTGATGGTGGCATTAATTTCTGCAGTCTCTTTAGGCATGCGGTATTGTTTTTGATTTACTATTTTTCTAGGTAGAGGCAGCTCTAATGGCTTCCATTTGGACTTTCCCTCCATAATAGCCCTCACCCTACCAGTCAGGGAGCCAATCTGGGGGTTCTACCAGCTCCTAATTATGCCTATGCCAATTACGCATTCTGGCACTGGGAAATGACCACAGGATGAGTCCGGGGACCCACTGTACCCACTGTAAGTCGCACCTGAGCTAAAACTCCATTAATTACCTGACCTCCATAAGACCCTACTTTAACTGGAGGACTACAGTGACGTTTTGGGTCCCCTGGAATCAGCATCAGCTCAGAGCCAGTATCCTGTAGTCCCTGAAATGTCTGATCATTTCCCTTTCCCCAGTGCACAGTTACCCTGGTAAAAGGCCAGAGGTCTTGGGGAAGGATGGGAGAAAGATTCACTGCATAAATTGTTGGTAATGTAGTGGGATCCTTCCTCAAGGGGACCCGGCCTCCCCTTCATTCAAGGGGTTCTGGATCTGTAAACTGGCTCAAGTCCGGAAATTGATTGAGGGGCCATGATTCTCTATTTTTAGAATTCAACTTAGTATTTTGTCCATTTGACCTAGAAGTTTTCTGCTGATATAAATTAAGTAGAAATGCATTAGGCTTCCTATCAGTTTCACTTCTAGGAACACCATGATTAATTAGCAAATGCCAGAGCTCTACAGGAGTCAGATTATTCTGATTGCCACTTTGCCTCTGCTGCCCATTGTGGTAGCTATGCCCACTTGCCTTTGATGGTTGAGTGCTGCCACTTAGTTGGCCCCTGCAACTTTGCAATCCAATTATTCCCATTGTAGTTAAATTTAGTAGTTGAGTGACTGTGCTTCCCACCATGAGATCTGACATACAGAGAAGAGCAATTACAGTGCTTTTCACAGATGCAGGTGCTGCCCTCAGCAATCTGTTTCACAAGGCATTGGTCAAGGGTATATCTTCTGGACCTTCCCAGCTGTGATGAGTAGGTCTAAAGGGACTAATCCACTCCACCACCCCAATCTCCTTAAGCTTTTGGATCCCTTCCTCTACATCAAACCAAGGGAGATCAGGCATTTCCAGGTTGCTCACAGTGGGCCACCTTTTAATCCATATTTCAGGTAACCAAGCAAATAAACTATTAGAACCTTTCTTAACTCCCCGAGCTGCAACATTAAAAGCAGAGTCCCGGCCAGGCATGGCAGCTCACGCCTGTAATCCCAGCACTTTGGGTCGCCGAGGTGGGCGGATCACAAGATCAGGACTTCGAGACCAGCCTGACCAACATGATGAGACCCTGTCTCTTCTAAAAATACAAAAATTAGCCCGGCCTGGTGGCACACGTCTGGAATCCCAGCTACTTAGGAGGCTAAGGCAGGAGAATCTCTTGAACCCAGGAGGCGGAGGTTGCAGTGAGCCCAAATCATGCCACTGCACTCCAGCCTGGGTGACAGAGGGAGACTCCATCTCAAAAAACAAAACAAAACAAAACAAAAAAAACAAACAGAGTCCCTACTTAGTGGGCCCAATTCATTAAATTCGGCTTGATCCAACTCTATGTTCCTTCCACTATTATTCCTTACTCTTAATATCCATTCCCATGGCTGTTCTCCAGATTTCTGTTGATATAAATTAGAAAACTCAAAACAGTTCTTTTCAAGTGTAGCGCACCCCGTCATGGGTCACACTCTCAACCTCACTTCTAGGGGCCCGCCGGGACTTTAGTTATAGGTCTAGAAGCAAACAGGGGTGTTGAGGGTGACTCCTGAGGAGAATCAACATTATTTTTCCTGGCAACTGCCTTAGGGGAGGCTATCACTGTTGCCTCAGGCCACTCAGGGTTTATCTCCTCAGACAAGGGTGGAAAGGCTGATGGCAGCATGGGTCCAGGTGGGGATGTTGCCGCTACTGGAGATGGGGAAGCTGTTGCTTCTGGCAAAAAAGCTTCCTCAGAGTTCACAAACTTAGTGTCCCCATTCCAAGTTGCAGGGTCCCATTCTTTTCCAATCAGTGCCCTGACTGTAATGGTAGACACCTGATGAGGATGTGTATGCAACTTTTGTTGCAGGTCAGCCATTTACATGATAAGAGCTTGTGTCTGTTTTCCACAATTTCAGCTCTTTCTCTACAGCAGATAAGACTCTCACTCAGGGCAATCTTAGCAGATTTGAGGCTCAGTATGTGCTTCTGAAGCCAGGAGACAGAATCCCTGAATTCATCATTTTCCTTCATCACTTTGTCCACTGAACTTAGGAGCAACCAACCAGCTTCATTATGTTCCTTGGTTCTCCACATATGGTATTATGTAGTCACCAAACTCCTTGCTGCTCACAGTGGTGAATCAGTAGTGTCAAATGCATTTATTTTGCATAACTCTAAACAGTTCGTGCCAAGGACTCTCAGTGTTATCTGTACTATTAGAAGTAGAGTCCTTAGCATTTTCTTATTAAGCAGCCAACTCCAGAAACCCCGAAACCAATGAAAGAACTCCATCCTTAACATTCTGTTTCTTTAGAACCACTCTTGGTACCAAAATCTGTATTAGGGTTCTCTAGAGGGACAGAACTAAGGGGAGTTTATTAAGTATTAACTTACACGATCACAAGTTTCCACAATAGGCTGTCTGCAAGCTTGAGGAGCAAGGAGAGCCAGTCCGAGTCCCAAAACTGAAGAAGTTGGAGTCCAAAGTTCAAGGGCAGGAAGCATCCAGCATGGGAGAAAGATGTAGGCTGGGAGGCTAGGCCAGTCTCGCCTTTTCACATTCTTCTGCCTGCTTATATTCACTGACAGCTGATTAGATTGTGCCCACCAGATTAAAGGTGGGCCTGCCTTCCGTAGCCCACTGACTCAAATGTTAATCTTTTTTGGCAGCACCCTCACAGACACACCCAGGATCAATACTTCACATCCTTCAATCCAATCAAGTTGACACTCAGTATTAACCATCACAGGGCTTCATATATTGAATGAGATCATGTCCAAGTCAGTGTACTTTAGGGGTGTTTTGAGCAGGGCAGAAAGAAGCTAATGCTACCACCAAAGAGAGCTCTGCTTTGTTACTGGACTGCCATCCACTAGAATTTATGATTAAACCCATTCCTACCTGCTGTTTACTAGGGGAGAGGCTGTTGTTTATTTTTGGCAGAGCAAACGAACACAGTGAGGACTACTGGGAGACTCACTTGAAGACAGGCGGATTGCATCTAAGAGGTGGTGTTGCCCACACTGCAAATTGTGCTTGTGTCTGTCTAAACAGCAATGAAAACTGGCCAGGTTCATAGTACCCTTTCAAAGTGGAGTTCTCTAAGGAAACATTAGCTTCAGTTGATAACTCTCAAAGAAACTAGGACAGTTCCCAGGCTGCTCTGTATTTGTGTAGATAAACAACAGGCATTAATAGAGCCATACTGAAAAAAAAAAAAAAAACAGTAATAAAATTCACTGTGTTCTAATTGTGTCCTCATAGCAGCGTTATATTTTTTAACCCCAAAATGGTACCTAAAGTGGAGATTTGTATGCATTATGAACTAAATACATTTTCTTAAGTAGTATTTATTGTGTTTAGGGTTTGCCACTATTTCTGACTAAAATGGATGTTCATGGTCTCAAGCACATTGACCAGTTATCTTTTAATAAACTATTTTTTATTGTGCACAGAACCAATGTAATGGCATTAGTTACTTGTTCTTTCAGTTTATTTTGATAACAATTTTCTCTTCCATAGTAGTTCTCTCCATTTAATTGAATTTGGGCATGTTATGTGAGTGCTTTTGATCTATAAATTAGTCATTAATAGATGTAATATTTAAATGATTTTAGGGATATAACGCAAACTATTTTATCTCATAACTCAGACACAGTTTTCAACATTTCTAGAGAGAAATTTTCCTGCCTGCTTGGAACAACACTTTGAATTGTCATGTGAAAGCAATTCCATTGCCATTTCAGTGTCCAGATTTATGTCAGCATTAATTACTGTCGCTGGGGAGTTCTGTGAGCCAACATTGTATGTGTGTGGATATTTACAAATGCACCGTTGGATTCTTTGTCGTTCAAGTGAATGTTGACTATTTACAGGTAAAGAACTCTCTTGTCTTTGTAGATATCAGGTTATTTGAATCAAGTAATATTTGCCTATCTATTTATACATTAATATGTTTAAAAAGAAATTTCTCCAAGAAGAAGCATTCGTCATTCACTATTTGTTTGATGAGATGATACTTACATTCTTATTGTGTAATCATAAAATAGCTAATTTTGTCGTGCTTAATGCCAAGAGCAGATGCACTTTCTAATAAAAACAACATGCAAAGCCCAAATCTAAGCATTATGTAGAAGCCTATTAAAATCTTGGAGTATTTTTTTTGTAATTTAAAAACGTAATTGTGGTTTGCATTGTGCCCAGTTTTCAAAAAAGTATGTGATTGGTGCCACAGCTTAAAAACCGAAGAAGCAAAAATTGTCCCTTATGTTTTTAAGTATAATGAGTCATTTTGAGAGACAATGTCATGCCTAGAGGTTTAGTGCATACCTCTGGCACCAGACTGTCTGGATTCAAATCTTGACTGGGCATGGTGGCTTATGCCTGTTATCCTAGCCCTCTGGAAGGATGAGGTGGGAGGATTGCTTGAGGCCAGCAGTTCAGGACCAACCTGCCAAACATAACTAGACCCCCATCTCTTAAAAAAAAAAAAAAAAAGAAAGAAAAAGTATTGGCTTCTATCATTTACCAGCGTTGTGATCTTGGGAAAGTATATATAAAATGCTTAAAACAATGCCTGGCACATAGTAAGGACAAATGAGTAAAACCATAAAGGGGAAAAGCAGTTAGAGGGGTGTGTGTGTGTGTGTGTGTGTGTGTGTGTGTGTGTGTGTGTCTGTCTGTGTCTGTCTGTCTGTTACAGGGACTTCTCCTATAATCAGTTGCAGTTTTTAAAAATTGGGTCTTTTATTTCCTGATCTGTCAATGACTTTCGTAGAGTAACTTTCTTGAGTATTGTTCTAGACCCTCTAAGGCAGACAGAAGAAATAAAAGGCATTGTCTCTACTTTAAAAGCTAGAGCCATATTTAAATAAGTACCCAAATGGAGATAGATACTGTTAGTTCATTCTTGCGTTGCTATAAAGAAATACCTGAGACTGGTTAATTTATAAAGAAAAGAGGTTTAATTGGCTTACAGTTCTGCATGCTGTACAAGCATGGTGCTGGCATCTGCCCAGCTTCTGGGGAGGCCTCAGGAAGCTTACAATCATGGTGGAAGGCAAAGACGGGGTGGTGGTTTCTCACATGGTGAGAATGAGAGCAAGAGAGAGATTGGCAGGGGTGGGTGCCACACACTTGGGAAAAAAACAGATGAGAGCCTACTCACTCCAAGGGGATGGTTTTAAGCCACTCATGGGTTTTAAGCTCCCATGATCCAAACACCTCCCACCAGGCCCCACCTCTTAACACTAGGCTGGAGTACTTGCTTTCTAGTGTGGTCTCATGAGATTCGGACAGGGGCACATATCCAAACCATGTCACATACAATTCAAAGAATTATAGCAATGTGTAAGTAAAAAGATCTTAATCTTTTGTAGTAAAAACAGAATGAAGAAGTATAAATGGTGAATTTTCATCTTGGAGGACAGGAGCTATATAAAAACCCATCATGAAAAGTCTCAGCTTTGTATCTGGGAGAAACACATGATGAAAACGAGCTTGTTATGTTCTTTGTTCTCTTGTAGGCCTAGTCATTCATTTTGGATGAGTTCTAAGCCCTGGTTAACAATCTCCCTTGTTTTCTTCTGTAGCTCTTATTATACCACACTAGAAAAGCAAGTACTCCAGCCCAGTTCCCTTACTTTCTAAGTCTTTTTCCATTTTCAAGCCATGTGTGTTATGTGCTGATTTTGGAATGGTCTGGAATGCTCTCTTCTTAACCTCAACCTCTCTGAGACCTTACCAATCCGCAGAGTCCACTGGAGTCTCACCTCCAAGATAACTTCCCCAACCTCTCTGAGACCTTACCCATCCGCAGAGTCCACTGGAGTCTCACCTCCAAGATAACTTCCCCAGCCACCTAAACCAAGCCCCAGCATCCCCAGCATCACTCTAGTGCTTAGTTATTATTCGGGGATGAGGTGAGGGGTTGCTAGATCCACATGAAAACTCTACATGCTGTGAAGTGCAGTACAGATGTGAGAGGGCAACACTGTTTTCCTTGCATTATTATTTTTGTTTTACCTGTTATGTGTTTGTCCTGTCATCCCCTTCCCCCACATTATGACCCTCCTAGAGGTCAAAAGCTTTATGTTTCTTAACCCATCCCCAAGTGCAAAAAATAAAAAAAAATCAAAGCAGTATAGAGCTGGAATGAATGAGTGAGTGAACAGAATGATGCTCTCTCTGCTCATCGTAGCGAAGATATCTAATGTGCATGCTGTTAGTGTGGGCAAAAGAGCAAGGGTTTTATTCTGGAGGACTTTGATGCAGGTCTGGACTTTACTACAGTGTGGGATTGGTCCCCCTTTCATCCATATTCTCATGTGAAAAATGAGGAAGGTGATGTTGCTGTATACCTCATAGGGCAGTGTTTATGAGGAGTAAAGTGACGTTTGTGGAAAAACTATTTTGTTGCTTTTCAAGTGCTTATTAGTTGTTTCCAATAAAAACAAACATGAGGCAGAACTTTGATCAAGCGTTGGATAATTCATAAGTCATGCTCCGTCATAACCAGGAGGATGGTGTGGTCATGTGAGTGGGATGGGAACTGAAGGGAGACCTGACTCTGACTTCTGCAGCCTTGCCAGTCCTGAGCCTGGGGCAGCAGCATTAGTTCGGGTTGGGGCTGGTGGTGCTTGGCAGACCCTTTACCTGTGTCAAGGGAGCTTGATGAAGAAATTCTAGGAGCTTTGTAAATACTTGGGTATTCAGATTGAGACAGGGAAATGATTAAATCTGTAAGGTAACATTTCTTCACACCAAGTGGGGAGCTTTTGGGTAGGGCCTTATGTTATGAAGAACCTTTGAATGTAAATGTGAAACTGGATGACAGTTACCAAATTACAGCCACCCAGCTACTTTCTCTCTCTGTACTAGAAATTTATAGTAGATCCTGATACGGACACGTTTGCAAAAGAAAGAAGCAAAGTTAGCAGCAATAGCTTGCTGTAGTGACTTTGGGATTTAGAATCTGGACAACCTCACTTTTAATTCCTGTCTGCTGTGAATTGCTATCTGACACTTCAGCAGCGCCCAAACTTTTTAAGTGACTGTGTAACTGGGGGCATTGCAAGAAGCCACCTGCAGAATGATTTCTTACAAGCCCCCAGTGAAAAAATATACATATCTAATGTTAATTTAATCCAGTTTTCCAACTACTTGCAAGAGTTGTATATAACAAAGGGAGTGGGGACTTAGTGGGTGATCACCTGGCGGAGCTGCTTGTAGGTCATTGGATGTTTGCATTAGGAGCTCTGGGTTCTCATCATCTGGGGTAAATGATGTAAACTTTCTGTACCTTAGGGCCCATATTTATAAAATGAGAGTGTTGGGGCAGTAGTCTGTTCCCAAGCTGTGACTATTATGTAGTTTAATAGGGGTTGGAAAAATTTCTCCTACTCTTCTAATTATATATGGAAAACTTCCCAGAGGACTCAGAGTTTTTTTTGTTTTGTTTTATTTTGTTTTGTTTTGTTTTTTTAAGATGGAATCTTGCTCTGTTGCCCAGGCTGGAGTGCAGTGGCTTGATCACGGCTTGCTGCAAGCTCCGCCTCCTGGGTTCACGCCATTCTCCTGCCTCAGCCTCCCGAGTAGCTGGGACTACAGGCACCCACCACCACACCCAGCAAATTTTTTGTATTTTTTTTAATAGAGACGGGTTTTCACTGTATTAGCCAGGATGGTCTCTATCTCCTGCCTGACTTTGTGATCCACCCACCTGGGTCTCCCAAAGTGCTGGGATTACAGGCGTGAGCCTCCGCACCCGGCCTCAGAGGTTTTTTTAGGAGTGTTTTCCACTTAATAGTGGGAATTGGGCCAGGTGCATTGGCTCATGCCTGTAATCCCAGGACTTTGGGAGGCTGAGGCAGGCAGATCACGAGATCAAGAGTTCTAGACCAGCCTGGCCAACATGGTGAAACTCCATCTCTACTAAGAATACGAAAATTAGTCGGGCGTGGTGGCATGTGCCTGTAATCCCAGCTTCTCGGGAGGCTGAGGCAGGAAAACTGCTTGAACCCAAGAGGCGGAGATTGCAGTGAGCTGAGATTGTACCACTGCACTCCAGCCTGGGCAACAAAGCAAGACTCTGTCTTGGGGGAAAAAAGTGTGAGTTAAGGACTTGCTGTGTGTCAGGGACTGCCTTGGGGGCTGGAGGCACATCCTCGAACAAGACAGGGTCCTTTCCCTCTAGATGCTTACATTTTAAGGACAGAAGACAGGGAAACAAACAGAGAGAGGTGACAGGAATTACTGTTAGATTGGATATGGAGTTACAAATGGGAAAGCCAAGGACAACTTACTCATTTGGCCTGAGTGGCTGTGTGGATGGTAGTAGTGGTTATTGGTCTGGTGGACAGAACAGGTTGGGAGTTGGATGATCCACATTCTGTTAAGTTTGACGTGCTTGGGAGAGATGTTATCTAGAGTTTTACATTTCAAAGTCTTCAGTCTCTGGATGGCATTTAAATCTTTGGGACTGGGTGAGGTCAGCTAATTATTGAATTTAGATAGAAAAGATAGGAGTGCTAGAGACCAGGCCTACCTGACTCCAAGCCCTGGGGCCCAACATTTGGAGGTTGGGTAGAGGAGGAAGGTAGAAGCAGTTCAGGGCCTCTTGTGTTTGTATCGTACCTTCATACACGTAAGGGTTAATAAATATCTTTTAAAATAATGCTAAGTGCCAGGTGCTGAGAGATGAGAGCACTCTTCAGGGACCACCTCCTCCTGCGAAGTGCATGGATGCCCACCACCCTCACTGCTTTGGGTCAGGCAGCCTCCGTCTAGACTCTCATGTCCTTCTGTGTCAGCTGGTTGACTTGAATATTGATCAAGAGTCAGTTTTGTTTGTAGCAAACCCTGTTTTGGTCAGTAGGACTTGTTGTAATTGCGTAATTAAAATGTTATGTTATCTGATTAAATCAGTATTATTTTTCTACAAAAATATGTTAAATACTTTGGAAAGCTTCCAAAGGCAAGCCTCAAAAAAAAAAAAAATCCAAAAAACCACAAACTCAAAGCTGCTGTTATAATATGTTACGTGTGGTCATGATGACTATAAAAGATTGGGGGGAAATAATTAAACTACTCTAAGCATTCTCAGATTGCTTCTTGAGAGCTTTGAGTTTGTGCTATACTCTAATAAAAAGGGAAATTGAAAGTTGTCATGATGCTTTTTTGGGTGGTTTGTATAAGAATGACTAGACTAACAGTCATTCAGGAGACTGATTATTCTTACAAAAGGCCTTGTCCTTACATTACAAAGTTGGTTAATGAATGTATAACATGTTCAGTTTAAATAAAATGTCTGAGATATATAGTGTTTCTCAGTTTCCAAACCAAGTTTCCTATTATCTTGGTTAAGTGAGTTTTTACTATGTGAACTTTGTAAAAAATAATCATCTAGTATGTGCCAAGAGCCCTAAAAATGGTTATCTTGCTAATATTACTTCTGGGACTTTATTCTATGAAAACTTAAAAAAAAAAAAAAAAAAGCAGGGTCTTACTTGGTCACCCAGGCTGGAGTGCAGTAGTGTGATCATAGCTCACGGAAGCCTCACACTCCTGGGCTCAAATGATCGTCCCACCTTAGCTTTCTGAGTAGCTGGGACTATAGGCGTTAGCCACAGCACCTGGCTTAATTTTCCACTTAAAATGGGTGTTATTTCTCTAATTACATGATAATTATATTATAATAATGGATAACATGAAACTTTAAAGAGAGGCTTTTTAAATTTGGTTGCTGTTGAGTGTTGGTGCTTCATAGAATGACTAAGAGAGACCATGAATGAAAACAGTACACATTACTTTCAGCTTTCATATGTAAGTGTAATAAGATATAAACAAGATTACCTTTATTTAATTAAAGGTACATATAAAAATAAAATTGCTTTTATCTGTACAATAATTATAACATAATATATAACTGTAAGTCTAGAAATAAAATTACTTTTAATCTTCATAATCATTATTCATCATTTATAATAGTTATTACTCTTTATAATAACCAAGACAGTGGAACAAAGTGGAATTTTCCTGAGTTTAGAAATAGTTTCAGAAAGGTTTGTTCCCCCATCCCTTTTTACACAGCTAGTACTGGCAGAATTTGAGCCCAGATTTTCTGATTCAAATTTATTGGTCTTTTCATTTCTAGCACTGTTCTTTGGTTTTTTCTTCTGTAAAGTTAGGTGCGAAAAGGAGGAGTAGTGGGGATCTGCCTTAAAAATCCTATATGTGGAACTACTCATGGATAGAAAATAAAAGGTTAAACTGGATGAGATGTAAGTCTGTCTTCGAAACAGGAAGATCATTCTGGGCTTTCTCTTTTATATAATGGTACTTTAAAAATGCTGAGGAAGGATTTGGGTGATGTGGTCAAAGTGATGGGAGAAAAATAACTTGAGAACAGAAATGTTCTCAGAAGGAGTCTAGAACTATGTTTTCCAAATAAGTGCATTTGCTGAAGGACAGGAAGAAAATATTAGAGCTGTCATTAAGCTGTTCTAAGAAATAAGCTAAAATGTACTAATATTTAATATTTGATTGAAACTGGGAACCTTGCTCATGTCATCTGTCAGATGACAAGTGTCCTATTTTGAATGCAGCTATCCTGGGATTATGTGGAACTTCCATAGTGCAAAGGGTCCTGCATTCCCTTGTTTGCTTTCAGCCTGTTGTGACATGCTACATTTACTCATCAGACTTACAGATTATGTTAACCAGTTTTAATTAAAGCAACAGCTGCAAAATTGACACTTGGCTTATAAAGATTCCTACAGAGAATTATGGGTTGAAGGTAACGTAGATAATGCAAATAAAAATGAGCCGTAAATAGTTGGCAGAGCTGAGACTTCTCCCAGTACAAGCTATGATCAACTATGAAGTTAGCTGGAAAGTGAATTTTGTCTAAGAAAATTTAGTTATTTTACATGGAATTGTCAGGCACTTACAAAAATCCTCCAAACTGACGGTGATTCTGCTGTTGGCCAACTGGGAGTGTGCTGAGTGCTTCAGTGGACCAGTGGATAATGCCCACTGGGAGATACAGTCCTTTGCAAGTAATTGACTTTCTTTTCTAATTCATTCTATTCTGCAGCTGTTTGAGTATCTCTTAGGTCCAGGCACCATGCCAGGGTGATAAAGAAGACAAAGCCTATAAGGAGATCACAATATAAAAAGGTCTCAATCTTGTGCCAAAATTATAGAATGGGAATTATTTAGTTGTGAGGGATTTGTGGAGTAATCTCAGTTCAGCCCTGTCATTGTTCAGGTGAGGACATCTCTGCTGTGCACCACACTGCTCATCAGTCCCTCCTATCAGTACGTAGGACCCATCAGAATCCCTCCCCTGATTGGTATCTTCGGGCTTCACATAATAGCTTCCAGTTTTTCCTCTCTTCATTTGGCTATTTATAGTTGATTCTTAATTCTGATTTTCTAACTTGCATTTTTGCCAGTAGGCATTGCTAATATATTCCAGCCTGAAAAAAAACCCTTAAATTTCAGGCTGTAAATCGTGTAAAATGAATGAGTTTTCTTAAGAACATTTTGTGTGTGTAGGTGTGTGTGCATGTGTGAAATTCTGACTGTCAATTTTCTTTTGAATGTAGAATGTCTTTGCTGGCCACTCAGACTAATAGAAATAATAGCATCTTAGGCAACAGAAGGGAAAGCACTGCTGTGAAGGTGTCACTTGACATCCCTGTTTATTGTTGACATGTAATAAAAAACAGTGTTCCTTGTGCATGTGAGCCAAGGTTTGGTCATGTGTAACCAGGTGATTATTTTTAAGTACATGTCTGACAGAACACCAAGAAGTACCAGTCTTTAAAGAATGCTATAGCATATACTTCAGGCTTGAAATATTGTAATAAAAGCAGGTTTGTTAAAAGCTTATCTGTTCCTGCATACTGTTCTCCAGCAAGCTAAACACATCAAGAAGCAGTCTCTCCCATTTAGAAATAACCAGACTTTCCTTATGTTTGTAACTGATTTTTTTTTATTAATTGGTGAGAACAATGTTGTTGGAAAGTTTAGTGTATCTTTCCCCCTCCTCCTCTTTGTGATGATGGTGGTGGGGGATTAGGTAATACCTTCAAACAGTAGGATTTTTCCTTGTATTTGAAAACCAATACAAGTCACTGTCATAATTTTTGGCAAATTATGTCAGGAGTAGAGGAAAGGGAATTCTTCACCTATCTTGATGTTTCAATATTGGGAACATTTGAAAAATAGAGAAAATTAGAAAGAAAAAAATTATCCGTAGCTTCTCCATTAAAACAAAAATTCTGCTTTCAAAATGTCTTCCAATGTAACACATTTGTGGTTATTTTATGAATTGAATGGCCAGAGCTATGTACATAGGACACAGCTGAAAAAGGGAAGGCGCAGTCAGTGAAAGTGGAATGAGGGCAACATCCAAATTGCCCTTTTAATGGTTATTATTGTGTTTCCTTGAAAAAGGCTAAAATGCCTCCAGTGGAAGACTAATAGTATTTGGACAGAAAGAGTGCAGTGTTAAGAAATTATTTTATCATAGCATTTTGAACCAAGGCTGGATCATTTTTGTTTAACAGTGTAATTGAGAGCTGTTCCTCACTTTCATTTACTCCATTGAGGAAAGCATCATTTCTAGCAGGAGGTTTACAGTGAGGTAGGTCATATTTGGGCACGTTGTAGAGGCACCGCAGTTGTGGTGGTCTTGATGACACAGTGCAGATGCTCCTGCTGAAACTGGTTTCTGTGACCTTTTCCTTTTGTATACACACTCTTCAAGTTTTAAAACAAACTGTATGTGTATTGGGTGCTTCCTGTTGAGGAAATGAAGGAGGTATGTATAACCCGGTGGGGTAGAGATGGGCCTGGATTGTAGTGGACAAATTTTGGATGACTCCGAGTTCATGCATCTGTTTCCCGGATGTTTCACCTGCTTTGTAACATCAGTGTCTCAAAAGCCAGAAGCCAAATGGCAAGAACTGTTGGGCTCTGTTGAACATTAGCGTTCTTGCTGTTAAACAGTCATATTTTTGTGGCTGAACAGTTAACTTTGGAAAGAAATGGTTTTGTGGTATCTCTAAAAATATTTTATAAGTACACTGGTTTAAATAACACTTAATACTACATTGTTCCATTATCTTTAAAACTCATTTCTGTGGCAGTTTTCAGTACCATATTTATGTAAGTTAGTCATAAAATATGTTTTTGTAAATTTGAGGTATTTTTATGTTTTTTTAAAACTTTTTTGTGCCTCCGAATAACAAATCTGTCAATTTGTTCGTTTTATTTATTTATTTATTTATTTATTTATTTATTTATTTATTTTTTGAGATGGAGTCTAGATCTGTTGCCCAGGCTGGAGTGCAGTGGTGTGATCTCAGCACACTGCAAGCTCTGCCTCGCGGGTTCACACCATTCCCCTGCCTCAGCCTCCCAAGTAGCTGGGACTACAGGCGCCTGCCACCATGCCCGGCTAATTTTTTGTATTTTTTTTTAAGAGAGACGGGTTTTCACCGTGTTAGCCAGGATGGTATCAATCTAAACACGTATAGACTTGTGTAACTACCCCATAACTCTTCTACCTCGCTCAAAAAGTTTCTTTGTGGGCCAGGCATAGTGGCTCACGCCTATAATCCCAGCACTTTGGGAGGCCGAGGCAGGTGGATCATTTGAGGTCAGGAGTTTGAGGCCAGCCTGGCCAACATGGTGAAACCCCATCTCTAAAAATACAAAAATTATCCAGGTGTGGTGGTGCAATCTCAGCTACTCAGTAATCTCAGCTACTCGGGAGGCTGAGGCAGGAGAGTTGCTTGAACCTGGGAGGTGGAGGTTGCAGTGAGCTGAGATGGTGCTACTGCACTCCAGCCTGGGCGACAGAGCAAGACTCTTTAAAACAAGAACAAAAAAGTTCTTTTATGTTATACTGTCTCCCCACCTCTACCTCCTGTCTAACACTGATCTGTTCCCCATCTCCATAGTTTTCTCTCTGTAAGAAAAAAACAAAACAAAACAAAACAAAAAAAACAAAAACGCGGGTGTCACTGTGTTGCCCAGGCTGGTCTCCGATAGTGTTCTCTCTGGGATGGTGTCATTTATGTGGAAGTATAGAGCAGACCATCTCTAATT
This sequence comes from Homo sapiens, assembly GCF_000001405.40. NCBI lineage: Eukaryota > Metazoa > Chordata > Mammalia > Primates > Hominidae > Homo > Homo sapiens. The sequence goes on from NC_000014.9 coordinate 71,477,494, forward strand.
AATTAATTAATCAATTAATTAATTATTTTAACAGATGGCGTCTCGCCGTGTTGCCCGGGCTGGTCTCAAATTCCTGGGCTCAAATGAGCCTCCCAAAGTGCGAGGACCTAGATCATGTTTTGAAGCTGACTTCTTTCCCTGAATATAATGCCTTGGAGGTTCATGCAATTTGTTGTGGATAGTATAGATACTTGGTTCCTTTTAATAGCTGAGTAGATCCCTTTATATGAAGGTACTGCAATTTATTTATCCAGTGTCCCATTGAAGGACATTTGGTTTGTTCTACTTTGGAGGTATTAAAAAAAAAAAAGCTACTGTGAACATTTGTGTTTTAGTGTTTATGTGAACATAGGCTTTCCTTTCCCTTGGGTAAATTCCCAGGACTGGGATTGCTGGATTACATGGTAGGGGTATGTTTAACTTTCTGAGGAACTTTGAAATTATTTTCCAGAGTATTTGTGTCATTTTCCATTTACACCAGCAATGTATAAAAGTTTCAGATGCATGGCATCCTTGACAGCATTTCCTGTTATCAAGGTATTATCAGTATTTTTTATTTTACCCATTTGGATGGATGTGTAGTGGTGTCTCATTATGGTGTTAACCTGCATTTCTCTAGTGGCTAATGAGGTTGAACATTTTTTCATATGCTTACTTGCCATTTGTATATCTTTTTTGATGAAGCATCTGTTCAAGGTTTTAAATAACCACTTTTTAAATTGGGTTATTTCTTGGTTGAGTTTTCAGTTTTATTTTGTTTTTATGTATTCTGGATACAAATTATTTGTTGCATATGTGATTTGCAAATTTTTTTCCAAGTCTATACCTTATTTTTTCATTTGCTTAATAGTGTATTTCTCTGAACAAAATTTCTCTAATTTTGAAGAAGTACAGTTTATCTTTTTTTTAAAGTACAGTGGGGGTGATTTCCAAGAACTCTTTGACTAACTAAAGGTTATAAAGATTTTATGTTTTCTCTTAAAAGTTTTATAGTTTTACATTTAGATATATATGATTTATTTTGAATTAATATTTCTGTAAGATCTGTTTTAGGTCAGGTTTCCTTTTTTAGATATGGATGTCTAATTATTCCAGCACCTTTGTTGAAAACACAATCTTTCTCCATTGAATTGCCATTGTACCTTTACCAAGAATCAATTGGTTATATTTGTGTAAGTCGATTTCTCCATGACTTCCTCCTTCCCTGGGGTTCCCCTTTTTACTTTTCCAGCCACAGAGATGAGACATTAGAATAGGACGTACTTCCTGTGACTGCTTGCATTTCGGGCCAAGAGGCAGAAAGACAGAGGAAAAAAGCAGCAGATGTTTGCTCCTACATCTTGAGATCAGAGCTCCTCTGATCAGAGAGGAAGGTTCCTTTCCCTCAGAGTATATGTGACTGTTGTCCCCGCTGTCCACCACCACCTTGGAATTGCCTTGGATTGGGAAGCAAGAGAATTAAAAAGAAAAAAAAAAGGAAAGAAAAATGGAGTGTTTCCCCCATTTTCTCCAGGTTTAGGAATTCCCTTTTCTGCTCCTCTAGCTAAAACTCAGTTTGTTCCCTCTGTCCACATCCTGGTATGCCATGTCTAGCTGCCTTGAGTCCAGGCTGGTGATTTCTTACGAAAAAAGTGGGACGCTCATTGCCAGTTTGGTAGTACCTTGAGATTCATTCTTCTTCCCTAATCAGCCTGCTATCGTTTACTTTTCAGACCCCTCAAATAGCTGCTTATAATCTTTCCAGGTATTATAACTGCATTCAGTAGAGAAATGAGATGGAGTACCCTTCCTTCATCCTACCCAGGACCAGTACCCCTCTTTTTCCATGTGTGTGTGTATGTAGGTATGTATGTATGTATGTATGTATGTATGTATGTATGTGTGTATATATGTATGTATTCATTCATTCATTCATTTCTAGAGACAGGGTCTTGCTCTGTCACCCAGGCTGGAGTTTAGTGGCACAATTATAGCTAACTGGAACCTTGACCTTCTGGGTTCAAGTGATCCTCTTGCCTCAGCCTCCTGAGTAGCTGGGACTACAGGCATGTGCCACGATGCGGGGCCAATTTATTTTTTATTTTTTTTATTTTAAATAGAGACAAGGTCTCACTATATTGCCCTGGCTGCTCTTGAACTCTTGAGCTCATGCATTCCTCCTGCCTGGGCCTCCCAAAGTTAGGAGATTACAGACATGAACCAACACACCTGTCTAAACCCCTGTTTTGTTTTGTTTTGCTTTGCTTTGTTTTAAGACAGGGTCTCCCTCTGTCACCCACGCAGGAGTGCCATGGTGTGACATGGTTTACTGCAGCCCTGACCTCCCATACTAAAGGTATCCTCTTGTCTCTGCCTCCCTAGTAGCTGGGACTACAGGCATATGCTACCATGCTGGACTAATTCTTTTTTTTTAATTTCTATTTTTAGTGGAGACAAGCCCTTACTATATTGTCCAGGATGATCTTGAATTCCTGGGCTCAAGCGATCCTCCAGCCTCAGCCTCCAAAAATGCTGGGATTACAGGCATGAGCCATTGCATGCAGTCCTCCTCTGTTTTTAAATACAAAGTTTAGACTAGTGTTTTTTTTGTTTTTTGTTTTTTTTTTTGAGACGGAGTCTTGCTCTGTTGCCCAGGCTGGAGTGCAGTTGTGTGATCTTGGCTCACTGCAACGTCCACCTCCCAGGTTCAAGCGATTCTCCTGCCTCAGCCTCCCAAGTAGCTGGGATTACAGGCGTTTGCCACCATGCCCAGCTAATTTTTTTGTATTTTTAGTAGAGACGGGTTTTTGCCATGTTGGCCAGGCCAGTCTTGAACTCCTGAGTCACCTCAGTTGATCTGCCCACCTCGGCCTCCCAAAGTGTTGGGATTACAGGCGTGAGCCACCGTGCCCGGCCAGACTAGTGTTTTTCACAAATTGCACACATCTTAAAATAATAGACATTCTGTTTCTCTTAGTCTTAAAAAAAAAAAAAAAAAGAAGAAGTCAGCCGTGCACAGTGGCTCACGCCTGTAATCCCAGCATTTTGGGAGGCCTAGTTGGGTGGAACACCTGAGGTCAGGAGTTTGAAACCAGCCTGGCCAACATGGTGAGACCCCGTCTCTACTAAAAATACAAAAATTAGCTGGGCTTGGTGGTGGGTGCCTGTAATCCCAGCTACTCGGGATGCTGAGGCAGGAGAATCACTTGAACCCAGGAGGCGGAGTTTGAAGTGAGCCAAGATTGCACCACTGTTTTCCAGCCTGGGTGACAGAGCAAGACTCTGTTTCCAAAACAAAAAACAAACAAACAAAAAAACAAAGGTCATTTTATCTTGGCTGAATTAATATATATTGTGTAAAATACAAGAACAAACTAGAAACCTTTCAGTTTTGTGGAAATTCTGTGCTAGGATCACAGTGGACTCTTTTCTTGCTTTTCCTTTCTACTAAAAAAATTAACAATTTAAAGTGAGCATTTTAATACCATATGTAAATTTACATTTAGTGCTATTTGATTTTAGGTGCAGAAATGCACCCAGGACACCTGTAGTCATTCACTTTCCTGTTTACCTTGTGGTTCTCATCTTTTGTTACTTTAAAAAATGTCTAATTTTAAGTCTTTTATATCCAATTATTGAGTTGCCTTTGAGATGTGATTTGATATGTTTTCATTCTGAACCCCTTGCATAAGTTCAGGCGAATTAGAGAATATAGGGAAGTCCAGGCTGGGAGTGGTGGCTCACGCCTGTAACCCTAGCACTTTGAGAACCTGAGGTGGGTGGATAGCTTGAACTCACGAGTCAGAGACCAGCCTGGGCAACATGGCAAAACCCTACCTCTACAAAAAATACAAAAATCAGCCGGACATGGTAGTGCATGCTTGTGATCCCAGCTACTTGGGATGCTGAGGTGGGAGGATGGCTTCAGCCTGGGAGGCAGAGGTTGCAGTGAACTGAGATGGCTCCATTGCACACCAGTTGCATTCTAGCCTGGGTGATAGCCAGACCTTCTGTAAAACAAACAAACAAACAACAACAACAACAGCAAAAAAAAAAGTCCCCAAAAAAAGAGAGGCTAATGATTAACATATTCATTCTCTACTGACTTTTTAAAAACATGGACTAAGTGTAATTATCCAGACAGCTGGTGAAAAACAAATATAGTTCAGTGGATTCCTAGTGAAAACAACTACGTGGTCTAAAAATTAGCTAATTTATTTTAAGTCATTATTTATCAGTAGAAAACCATTAAAAATTAGTGAGGGGGAAACTAACTGTAGGTGATCATAAATCTCTTGAAATCCACCCCCGGAGGCCATGTTAATGGAGTCACAGCAGGATATAGGAGTAGACAATTAGGAAGGTGAAGTTTAAGGTAATTAAGAATAACTCACATGGCATTTTAATTATAGAAAACGATAATAAAATACAAAGATGGAAGATAGTTGGATAATCCTATGACATCTCTTTATAGATATATCAAAATGGTAACTGGTATTTTTATGCTTTTAGTATTTATTTTCCACAAAATGGCAAGTGTCACAGGGCTTGAACGCTGCCCTCCTAAGTGTTTACCATGCTTTTGTTACTTAAGACTAATGAGACCATTGGGACCCTTTATGGAGCTCTGTGCCAGGCCCTGTGCTGAGCAGCTCACATAGGTTATGCCGTGTCATCCTCAGGAGAACCCTGGGAAGCTGGTCCTGATGGGCAGGAGAGAAAGCAGGCACAGAGAGTAGGTAAGTGCTAAGGATTCAAATCTACAGGGTCTGGCTGTAGAGCCTTTGCTCTTCAGCTTTTAGCTATAAGATCCCCTAGTTAAGTGGGGTGAAAGACTGAGAGGGAGGGGATTGGGAAGACCAAATGAAACAGTGAAGGATATTTTGACCAGAGGTGTAGAAGCTTCAAAATCAAGTGCTGGGTTTAGCGATTACCCAATCTCAACCAAGGAAAGAATGGGAACAGTCCAGTTCCAGGATTCATTATGCCACCAGAACATTTCTTCTGCCAATTTTTCCCAAGTCAGTGTGGTATAAGTAGCCACTTTTTGTTGCCACTCTTTCCCTGAGTACATCTCTCTCAGTCAAAGTGTGTGGAAACGCGCCTCATTAAATCTGTGCCGGGGACCAAATCCAAAGAAAGACTTAGACAGGATTAGAGAGGAGAGAAGAATTTAGTACTTTTTTCATAGGGATGAATTAGGGCTCTGATGTATTTAACCTCTTAAGCTTTCTGAATGATCTTATGGAGATGAGTCCTTGTCTGGGTTCAAAGAATTGACTCCTCTCCATCTTCTCTCCCTCTCACCCAAATTGAAGTGCTTTTAGCCAGTTGGTAGATTTTATACTTCTGGAAGAGAATAGGACCCGTAAGGAATTGAGGAATGGTGTTAACATCCTGTCCAGATGGATATTTGTGCCTAGATGTTCATGTTTATACACATTTTTGTGTGTGTATGAATGCACAGGCAGCAGCCAACTCATAGTCAGCCAGACAACTTGGGTGGTATTCTTCTTTTTTACGAACAATTTCAGCTGACAGCTAAGCACAGATATGATCCTTTATGATATCCAGAGATTTGTTTTACTCTCTTTTTGATAAGAGACTTCATACTTGCAGGCCAAAGACATTCAAGTCTTTGGAGGGAAAAGTCTTAAAAGTGGTCAGAATTTGAGGGCTATTAGAATTTTATTCTTTACCTAAATCTAAATATTTGTTTTAGATGGTAGTTTACCCACACCATGCAGAAAAATTATAGATGTTTGGGGTACCGTTTTTCTTTCTATTAATAACAGATGATTATAATTAGAGGCATTTGAGCATGAAACTAGTGGGGAACGTGCTCTGTGGTATTTTAGGGTGAAGTTGCACTTTGCTCTTTGTGCGCACATTGCTCTTTGTGAAAATGTCTCCTAATTCATCTTTCATGTACAGTGTTGCTTACAACATTGTATCATGCATTCATGTGAGACTTCAAAACCAGACCACTTGATTCTATTCTTCTGGAGCCACTGATAATTGTTGGGAGACTACATTTGTATAAAACCTCTGCAGAAATCAAGAGAGGCCCAGCTTTATTGTAATTTTAACAGTTTGGGCAAGTTTAAAATTTGAGTTATGTTTCTGTAGCCTTATCCTTGCTCACCTAGACTACTGATTTACCATCCCATCCCACCCCTGCACCCATTTCATTTTCTGCATTGCCACCAGAGTTTCTGTACAAAAAGCATGTCTAACCATGTCACTCTCCTGCTGAAAACATTTCCAAGGCTCCTCACAGCTCACTGGAGAAAGTTCAGGAGTCTTCATGTGGCCTTCAAGCCTTGTGATGGGAACCTTGCTCAACCATATCATCTATCACTTCCTGCTTGGAACTAGGCCCTTCTGATGCACTATGCTCTCTGTCACCGGTAAGGTTTTACTCCTTCCCTCTGACATCGCTAGGTTGGGCTGCATGCCCCACCTCTGCACTCCGTAGCACCCTGTGTTCGCCTCTTTGGTTGCTCATGTCTGTACGATGTTTGTCTGTTCATATGAGGAAGCTGTGGATTCCTCAAAAGCAGGGGGCTCTGTCCTCATTATTTGTGTTCCTCTAGCCTGCTGCAGAAACGGACACATATAATAGACACTATCCTCAGTATGTCTTAATGCAGCCTTGAATAAATGGTGGAGTTGCTCTTTGAGGTCGTGAGTTCTCATCACTACAGGTGTTTCACATAGCAGCTGAGAGGACACTGTTGCTTAGAAGTCACTCTGCCTCTCATTTTATTTGTTATTTTGTTTGAAGCTTTTAGTTGGACAGCTTTTTTTTTTTTTTTAACTTTCTCATCTTTTTTTTTTTCCTTTTTGAACTTTCTCGTCTTTTATCTTTGATACTCAAATAAGTAATCTAGCTACTTAAATATTTAAAACCCTTTAAGTAATTAGCATTGTATTAATAATTATAAAATGCCCATTATGTGTCAAACATTTTGCTAGGTTCTTTATATATATTAGCACTAATTTTTCCAACAATGTTAGAAGGGGAATGATTTCATAGTGTATCAGAAGGGCCAAGCATTATTTTCATTTTATGATTTTTAGGAACTAGGGCCAGAGAGAGGGAAATTAATCTGCAAGGTTTTACCTGCAGTTGGTGATTATTAGAATCAGGATTGAAATCTAGGTTTGAATCTGGACGTGATACTCATTTTGCTATCCCAGAAAACTGATGTTTATGTAACAACTTACCATACAGTAGGAATTCAGCAGTTATTGTCAGATAGCAGAGACTTGACAGTAGGCTTATTGTTAGTTTGGCAACCAATATTTGAAATAGAGAGGAATAATGATTTGTTTTAAAAAGTGAACAGAGCTAAAAATGGAAATGGAATTACTTTGCTTAATGCCTCCATTTGGATTTTGTTCCTAGCTTTAAACAAAACCTATGCTTAGAGTTAAGTTAGAGTAGAGAACATGATCCTGACTCTTCTGCAGTCAGTAGACTTCTGATTCTGCACAAAGACAGGAGTACCCCTCCCCTTACTCCATCCCAGCCCTGTGGAATTACTAAGTTTAGATGAGTGTAATTCGTTGCCCATGATCCTTTAGCTATTTTGGAGGGTGGGAATAGAGAAAGAGGTACAATAACGTTTCCACAAAAACCAAATGAAATGTGTGTCACTTATCAGGTAAGTTGCCATAAAGCAGCTCTACCTTTTAAAGATAAAATGACAGGATATCAGTAGCAGAAGAATGCTATTACAGTTAAGTCCATGAAATCCTGTGATGATGGGCAGTGGCAACCAGATATTCATTTAGAGAAGGGGTCTCCAACCCCCGGACCACGGACCAGTACCAGTCTGTGGCCTCTTGGGAACTGGGCTGCGTAGCAGGAGGTGAGCAGTGAGCAGGCAAGTGAAGCTTCATCTGTATTTACAGCTGCTCCCCATTGCCCATTACCACCTGAGCTCCGCCTCTTGTCAGATCAGTGGTGGCATTAGATTCTTATAGGAGTGCAAACCCTATTGTGAACTGTGCATGTGAGGGATCTAGGTTACGTGCTCCTTATGAGAATCTAATGCCCGATGATCTGTCACTGTCTCCCATCACCCCCAGATGGGACCATCTAGTTGCAGGAAAACCTGCTTAGGGCTCCCACTGACTCTACATTGTGGTGAGTTGTATAATTATTTTATTATGTATTATAATGTAATAATAATAAAAATAAAGTGCATGATAAATGTAATATACTTGAATCATCCTGAAACCATTCCCTACTGCCCCCAGTGTGTGGAAAAATTGTCTTCCACAAAACTAGTCTGTGGTGCCAAAAAGATTGGGGACCGCTGGTTTAGGGCATAGACCCCCAAATTGATTCTTATCTAACAATTCACCTGGCTTGTAAAACACAAGGAAGCTTTTGTAAATTGCTTACATTTGTTGTTGTTGATGTTTAACTTCCATTTCCCCCCCTACATTGCCTATACACCCTCTCTCCAGAGATCTTTCTGTTGGCCCTACTCACTCTCCCTAATTCAGCACCCAGAGTAGATCAGATGTTTCAAGAACTGGGTGTCTTTCCTGCCCAAAGAAAACATTGGAAAACATTTATTTTGATTTAAAAAGATGTTTCATAATCATACGGATGTGCGATTTAGACAGAAAAAGATAGTGAATCATGAAATATTTTTAATACCCTAAATGTATTTGCAACTGTTTTTTGCCAAATCTTACCATGTGTACTTTAAATATTCTCCAGCATCTGCAATGAAATTTCTGTTTGACTAGTAGGAACAGCTATCTGACTATACAGGGTTCGATTTTCTGTGGGGAAACCACTTGGGGTGGTGTTTCTATCAAGTCATCAGGAAAGGACACAGGCTCCTGGCTTTCAGCCTTTTGGGTGTAAGGCCTTTGTCCCCAAATCCACAGGAGCTCCAGCCTAGTTGTCTGCAAGAGGAGGGGAAAGGAAAACAGGCAAATGAGACTTTCTGGAATCTCTACTCATTGACTTCTACTTGAAACTCCTTGGCCACTGCTATCTTCAAGGGAGGCTCAAGTGTGGTGTTTAAATGGGCACTTTGCCAGCCCAAATAAAATGATACTTCTATCGCTAAAGAAGGGGAGCGGAGTGGAAACTGAGTTTGAAAAAGTTGACTTTCTGCCATCAAATACAACTTTTATTTTTTAAGTCATGAATCTGCCTAACCATCTTGCCAAAATTTAGAGTGAAGGGTGTTATTTAAGAGTATTTTAAAGAAATATTTCAGCTTTCGACAAATTATTTCCCAGGTCATTTCTATGCTTTTGTAAAATTCTTAATGCACCATTATTACTTTCCAATAAGTAATCTTTTAAATCTATAAATATTATTCAGGGTTTAAAAATAGAACAGGATTGATATTACGTGCTACAAATTAATAAATTTTTTCATGCTTCTTCTAAAGGCGCATGTTTTAGAAATATTTATGTAAAATTATCCGGTCTTTCTTTCTCACAGAGGCCCTTCTTTAGATAGAACTCTTGAAAGCTCTCTCCCTAGCATGTTAAGAACTGCTTTGGGTAGCTACGCTGATTCAGTACCAAATTCTGCCATAATCTTCTGATGGCACGGTGGTCTTTCTTCCCTCTGGATTTTTCTGCCTGGTAAGTTCTCTGCATGAAAAGTTCTGCTTACTCCTCTTCAACCTGGAAACTTCTTTTGATCCTTCAGGTTTCACGTCTTCTGCTCAGCCTTCTTTTCACATGCGTGCTGTTTTCCCTCCCCTCCCCATCACCTTCTGACTGGTTTAGTGGCTCAGGTGCTCCTGGCTGGTTTAGTGGCTTAGGTGTTCCTACTGAATGTTCCCTGGTCTCTGCCTACCGCATCATAGAGAGGAAGTTAAGCAGTGGTGATATGGAGAAAATGAGATAGTTCCTGTAAATACTCCAAACAGTGCCTGACTTCTCATAGGAAGCATGCATTCTGTATATCCATCATTTTTTCACATTGCATTGCAGTAACTTCTCTGCTTTTCTCAGTGATAAATTCTTGGAGGGCAGTTGCTATGGTGTGTTAGAGCTATTCCTGGCATCTGTGTATGGTGTATAGGGCATGGTAGGTACCCATTAAATATGTAATGAATGAGTGTGCATGGGTGAGCAGGAAGAGGAGAAAGGAAGACTACCTAGAGCTCTCCAGTGTCCACTTTCACTCTGCTCAGCTCTTGGGGACATGAGGAAGTGAGATCTGTGGATCCCAGAGGTAAAGAATGAGGTGAGGAACAGCAGTTTTTCACCATGCTTTGTTTTATTGAATGAGCTGGACCTCATGCAGATACCAGGGCATAATTGAGAGCTATAATTATTTGTCATTGGAAGACTCATTGTAGGAGATCTGTATTCATTTGCTCAAGTTGTCATTTAACACTTGAATATCTGCTATATGCTGGGTTCTAGAGCTGCAAAAGAGAACAAGAGTAGTCTTTACCTTTAGGATTTTCCAGGGAACTGGGGGAGACAGACAGATACATACACATACACCCCATCCTCAGTGTGTAGGTGCCATGACAAATCAAGGCTTTTGATGCAGATGCTATGCTTTCACTTCTCATGGTCGATACTTTTTGAATCTTAAAGTCTGATTGTTCAGATATCTAGAAAAGGAGATGTCTGGCTTTGCTCTGCCCTCTGACTCACTGTGTTGGTTTATCTTTAGGCGTGGTGGAGGGGGCCAGAACTACTGGCTAATGAGAGAAGGCAGACCTTGTTAGTGACATGTACAAATGGGCACATCTGCTATATTCACTTTCATTACTGATTATTAATAGTTTATTAAATGGAGTTTACTGAATTACTATTATTTTGGCTTAAAATATATATATATAATTTATGTAGTTCTATGTTTATAGATGTGTTTTCAGAGGTGTATTTGTTTTAGAATTTCACTCTGTCCTGGAAGTGATTTTTCAAATGTGGATATTAAAATGGATAGGACATAATTTCCCAACTAGTACAGTATGCTAGTGCCAACCTTATACCACTGTTGTAGTACCCATGAAAAATAATTTTTAAAAAGCTGTAAAAGTTCCCAGTGCTTTGAGGCTTCTTCAAAATTGAGAATGATGAAAATTTCCAAAATTATCAGTTGATGCCATAATTATCTCTAAGAGATGTTGTAATAGGAAATTCATGGTTTTCCTTTATTTTCCTGTTTCTGAACACAAAATTCAAAAGAAAACTCTTTCTTCCTTGTCACTGAGACTCTTGGTCAGTGTAGGCTGTGAACTTGTACTTTGTGAAGAGAAGAGTACTGTGAGGAAGCTTGAAAATACTGTAGGTTTTTGTTGGCATCTTCTTCTGGATGGTATTCATGTACTCTGCACGCCACTGAAAATATGCTCTGTTTTTCATAAAATATGCTCATTCTTTTATACTGAGCACTCGGAAATTGGTTTTCCCAAACCATCTTAGTGGAGAATGGCCTGCTTTTATCAGTTATGTGAAGAAGTAAATTCCAGGCTCCTCAGCTGCAGGATGGCTCCTTGTTCACAGCTGCTGCTCTTGCCTCTGTGGAAGACGCCTGCTGCTAAGAGAATCTTTGTGTGTTGTGTATAAAATGAACTTTGTTTGGACCATTCCACAAGCAACTTAAACTGCTTAGGAGTCCAGCCAGACATTCCTCCCCAGTTGATCATTTAAATGGAGGTCAGATTTAGAACCCAACTTATATTCGTTTAAAAATAGACATTGCCTTTAGAAAACTGACCTTTGGTACATTTGGGGCCTAGGGATCTGATAGGCTATCTCTTATGATGCACATCGCTCTGTTTTAGACTCTGAAAGGCAGTATGCCTTTGAAGCTAGATAACGTCAGTGTGCTTGTAACTTGGGACCCAGTCTGTGTGCTATATGTCTGCTTCTTCAGTCCACACTCATTACTTCCAGGAAATTCGTGAGAAGATGAGAGATTATTCGTTATAGAATTGAGTATGGTTTCTCTACACTAATTTTATTGGATATTTTCCAGTTTGACTAGGAAAGGTTAGAGAACATGGAAAGAAAATTTAACAGGTTAATTTTAAGGTAATAAGACCATTGTATTGATATATTCTTCAGTGTGATTTAGGTGAGTCAGGAATTTTTCCTCTGGAGACTGCCTAAATCAGGGATGTCCAATCTTTTGGCTTCCCTGGGCCATACTGGAAGAATAAGAATTGTCTCAGGCCACGCATAAAGTACACTAACACTAATGATAGCTGATTAGCTTAAAAAAAAAAAAAGAAAAAAAGAAAAATTGCCAAAAAATCTCATAATGTTTTAAGAAAGTTTATGAATTTGTGTTGTGCCGCATTCAAAGCTGTCCTGGGCTGCATGTGGCCTGCGGGCTGTGGGTTGGACAGGCTTGTAAATGTTATTAAACCTACAAATGAGAAAGGTAAGACTAGTGGCAGCTCTCACGGGGCTGGAAGTCAGTTTATCATATGTTGCAACTTAACATTATTCATTTATGCAAGTGAATAATCAGTTATCAAAATATGGAGGGATTCTTTCAAGCCTCATTTATCACACACAAGTCTAAGGTTTACATAGAATGTGTTAAACAGATATGTTAATAGGGTAAGATTGGAGTAGAGAAGGTTATTGCTAACTTTTTAATAATCAGAGAAGTGAACATATATTGAGCTTGCATAGATATAGTTAAATTATTGCCTAAAATTTCAACTAAAATTGAAACAAAGTGGTAATAAGTTATTTTGATTTCATTAAAAAATAACCTTGAAGGACAATATTTTTTTTTCTTCATGATTTAACAGTGTTACTTAAGCATTTATTTTGATGTAGGAAAACCTGTATTTATTTCTGGGCACCACTTTTCTTGTAGTCTTAATGATTATCATCTTAACCAACACCTTTGTGTAATAGTTTCCTTGAGGCTGATGATACCTTTTAATGGTGTCAGTGCTTAACATTATGTCTTTTTGGTACTTTTCAGCAACACAAAATTATAAATTATTTTGTGACTAACTGTGTCTAAATTTTTTTTTACATCAAAATAAGTATTTTTAAAAAAGAAAATGTGGGTTTTTAAACTTGTATTTTATTTATAAGAGGATGTATTGTCCATGTTATTATAATAATTGATGTGTTTCCAACAGAGGACCTCTGTGAATATTTTTGCATTGCCCACACAGGTGATGTGTGAACATCTCCAAGATTGTTGTGCCATTAACTAGCTCCTACAAAGTGTCATACAGCAACATTATTTGAAACACTTGTGGAAACATTTGGAAGCATTTATCATTTTTTCTTTGTTGTATACCCATTTGAACAAAAGCAAAGTAATTGCTTACAATAGTTATTTTTTCATAATAACATAAATGCTGAATCTATAAAAAGTAGAATTTCTTTATAAAGATGACCTTAAGTTTTAGCTACCTGATATCGTACATACATCGTAGAGAACATTTTCAAAGGTAGGGGTTTAATAGGAATGAAGATGCCTGTTCCTGATACTGGGAAGTTTGCTTATTTAACTTAGTAGCAATGATATTTATCATATCCTAATATTTTATAATGCTCTGTATATCACTGAGTGCTTAAGTAGTTACCCTTTTTAATCCTCAGAGTCCTCCCTTCAAACAGACAGGATGTCGATATTTAAAAATAAAAAGAAATTAAATTCACCTATTAATATATTTCTAACTCATTGGAAAGGAAATGTCAACTACCAGTTGATTTTCAAGAGTCTCTTTAATTTCAGTTTTGTTTTTCCTTCATTACAGCAGGATACTCAAGCAAACTGAATGTGGCTCTTGGAAACTCTGAGCTATCTTTGGGTTCAGTTCTCTGAAGTTTAAATTACAGTTGTTCCTTTTGGTGATCATCATTCATTCCTCTTTTTCCCCTTGAGCCCCTTCTATGTGTCAGGCCTAGGTTCTGGGGACAGTATATCTCCAAACTGACATTGTACTTATCTTCATGGAACTTAATGGCTTAGTGGAAGAGAAATGAAACAAATATGGACATATGAACTGTAATCAGTGCTCTAGAAGCAATATAAGCAGTAGTATTAGGGAGCAACCTGTTTGTTGTTGTTGTTGTTGTTGTTATTGTTGTTTTGAGATAATCTCATTCTGTCGTCCAGACTGGAGTGCAGTGGTGCAATCATGGCTCACTGCAGCCTCGACCTCCCCGGCTCAAGCAATCCTCCCACCTCAACCCCACAAGTAGCTGGAACAACAGTCAAATGCTCAGCCTGCCTTGGCTTCCCAAAGTGCTGAGATTACAGGCGTGAGCCACCGTTTCAGGCTTAATGTTTTATTTCAAACACACACACACACACACACACACACACACACACACACACACACACACACACCCCTTCCCCCGCCCCCCCACATGAAGAGTTGGCATTTGTAGGCTACATTTTCAGTAAATTGTAAATGAAGAGAATTATGAGAATTTACCTGATAATCCTCATTTATTATAGTTCGGGTTGTGCGTGTGTGGGAAAAATGCTGTCCTGTTTCTGCTAATCCAAGTCTGTCAGCACCATCTCCCCTCTGTCACCTAATGATTTGACTGTATTTCAACCTGTGTAATGGCGAGGCACCACGGTAGCTAGCATTGGCCGAGATGCCTGTCCTTGACAACAAGGTCTTTGTTTGGCTGTGTTGGGAAATATTGGCTACTACCAGGGCTGAGTGCAAAGAGGGTGGTATAGTAACTCAGTTTTTCGTGCTAGCAGCCTGATGGCACAGTTACAGCAAGGATTTGGCAGGAAGGAGCAAGTGTGGATTGCTTGAAGTTTCAAGGGGAGATGAGGCAGGAGAGAATTTAGAACTGTGGTGTTGTTTTTATTAGTTTAGAAGTTTTAATCTTCAATATAGCCGTGTTTTTTTCCAACAGCATAAAGGGTCAGCTTGATGCCCTGTTAAAAAAGAGCCAGAAGTGGGGTTTACAGGTGACAATTTTAGTGTGTTCCTTTTCTTTAAGAAAAATCTTTGATTCTGAAAGAGCTTGACAGAGCTGTTTAATAGTGTGGACATCTGTTGAGGCAGATAGCAGTTTTCTGGATATAGGTCATGTTAATATAAACTCTGGATATAAACAACCTCTGCTGTCTGCTTCAGACTTGAAGACTGTGTGATAGGACCAGGCCCGTGCGGTAGCTCTTTAGTGGTCAGAATATTTGTGAGTGAAAGCCGCTCTTATTTTTCAGAGACAGGAGCTCACTCTCTCGCCCAGGGCACAATTATGGTTCACTCCAGCCTCAATCTCCCAGGCTCAAGCGATCCATCTCAGCTTCCCAAGTAGCTGGGACCATGGGCATATGCCACCATGCCTGGCTAGATTTTTTTTTTTTTTTTAATGTAGGGATGGGGTCCACTCTATTGCCCAGGCTGGTCTCAAACTCCTGGGCTCAAGCAATTCTCCCACCGTGGCCTCCCAAAGTGCTGGGATTATAGGCATGAGCCATTGTGCCCAGCCAGTAAATGGCATTTTCATACATTTACCTCCTTTTTTGTTGTCCCGGAAGGCAGAATCTGGGATCTCTTTTACTTATGTAACTGTTCTCCAATTTCCAAATCAATTTATATCGAAAGAATATATCTGTGGTGCCTGCCCCTTTATCCCTCCCCCAAAACATAGGTATTTATTTTTTTAGAGACAGGGTCTTGCTCTGTCACCCAGGCTGGAGTGCAGTGGTGTGACTGTAGCTCTGTAGCTTTCTGCAGCCTTGAACTCCTGGGCCCAAGCAATTTTCCTGCCTCAGCCTCCTGAGTAGCTAGGACTACAGGTGCCCAAACCCTCCACGCCCCCAGTTTTTTTTATTTTTGGAGTGATGGGGTTTCACCATGTTACCCAGGCTGGTGTTGAATCCTGGGCTCAAGCAGTTTTCCCCATTCACCCTCCCAAAGTGCTGGGATTACGGGTGTGAGCTATTGCACCTGGCGAAAGTAGTTGTTGAAGAACTACTTGGGCAGATGGGAGGTCTTGTTTTACTGCTATGTTTGTGAACAATACAAATTCAATTATTTTTGTGGATGTGACTTCTAGAGAAACAATTAAATTGATTAACCAGAGTGACTGAGGAGACTTTCATTATGTTTCTCCAAGGACATAATGTTGAACAACAAAAAAAGTATTTTGACAAAGTATCATCACCAAAGTATCCCTCATCAGAATATATAGCACAGGCTGGAAACTTGGATTATTGTTTCTTACCTAAAAGCAGTCAGTGGAACAAAGGTTATGTATGTTCTGTTAGCAGTGAAGCTGATACTATAAAGTCTATATGATTTTATTCAAATGGATTAAGAAAATTAACGTGTGTTTATATTTGGAAAACGTCAGATATTTTATGAATAAATTTTAATTCAGCAAATATTTGTTTTTATTACTCCTTAAAGGATAGATTCAGCATTTTGTTTGTTTTTTAATATTATGAAGGAACTTTATACTCCTGATCACTGATGATGTGGGCAGGCCAGCCCGAAGGGACTCCGTGGTTCAGTCTTTACCATGCAATAGCACAGGGGCTTTTGCTTTTAAACATGAGTTCTCTGATTGGGTAGTGCTTGTGTGAGTATTGAAAAATCTCTACAATTGAGGCTTTGGAAGGTTATCAGTTTTACACCTTCTTGTCCTATTCAGATGCCTTTAATTTTTGTTCTGTTTTATTTTGTTTTGCCTTCTTGTAACAGTTAGAATCTTCATTGGATTGTTGAATAGAAATGGTGACAGTGGACGTCCTTGTTTTGTTCCTGATGTTAGAGGGAAAGCTTTCAGTCTTTTACTGTTGGTATGATGTTTGTTCAGGCTGAGGAAGTTCCCTTATGTTCCTGGTTTACTAAGGCTTTTTTTCTTTTTCTTTTTAAATCATTAGTGGTGTTGAATTAAATTTTTCAAGTGCTTTTTCTGTATATATTGATATAATCGTGTGGCTTTTTGTCCTTTATTAATATGTTGTATTAAATTAATTGACTTTTGGAGGTTATAATAATTGATTTTTGGATGTTAAACCATACTTGCTAAGATGAATCCCGTTTGGTCATAGTATCTAATTGAGATTTTCTTTTCTTTTCTTTTTTTTTTTTTTTTTGAGACAGGGTCTTACTTACTGTGTCACCCAGGCTGGAGTGCAGTGATATGATCTTGGCTTATTGTAGCCTCATCCTCCTAGGATCAAGCGATCCTCCCGCTTCAGCCTCAATAGTAGCTGGGACTATAGGCACACGCAACCTCATCCAGCTAATTTTTAAAATTTTTTGTAGAGATGGGACCTTACTATATTGCCCAGGCTGGTTACTCCTGCCTCAGCCTCCCGAGTAGCTGGGACTACAGGTGTGCACCACCTTGCCTGGCTACTTTGTGTATTTTTAGTAGAGACAGGGTTTCACCATGTTTAGTCAGGCTGGTCTCAAACTCCTGACCTCGTGATCCACCTGCCTTGGCCTTCCAAAGTGCTGGGATTACAGGCATGAGCCACTGCGCCTGGCTCAGGCTGATCTTGAACTCTCGGGCTCAGTTGATCCTCCCATCTTGGCCTCCTAGAAGTGCTGGAATTACAGGTGGGAGCCACTGCACCCAGACAGAGGATTTTTTAATTGAGAATTTTTGTTTGTAAATTCTTGAGGAATATTGGTTCATTGTTTTCTTATTTTGTAATGCTCTTGTCTGGCTTTAGTATTGTGGTAATATAAAATGAGCTGGGAAGTGTTGTCTCTTTCTCTGTTTTCTAGAAGAGTTCGTGAAGAATTGGCATTGTTTCTTTATGTATCTGATAGAATTCCATGGTGAAGCCATCTAGTCCTGGTATTTTCTTTTTGGGAAGATTTTTAATTAGTAATTCAATTTCTTGTTTTAGGTATATTGAGATTTTCTGTTTCTTCTTGAGTTGGTATTGGTTATTTATGTCTCTCTAGGAATTTGTCCATTTAATCTAATTTGTCTAATTTGATGGCATACTGTTTTTATATTTTCTTTTATATATTTAAAATATATTTATATTTTATACTGTAGGGTCAATAGTGATGCTCCCTCATTTATTCCTGATTTTGGTAATTTTGGGGGGGATAATTTTCTTTTTTTCTTGGTCAATCTAAATAAAGCTTTGTCTATTTTATTTACTTTTTCAAAGAACCAGCTTTTGGTTTTATTGACTTTTACTGTTTTTCTGTTTTCAGTTTCATTGGGTTTTGCTCTAAACTTTAACTTCTTTCTTTTGGCTTGCTTGGGGTTACTTTACTGTTTAGTTTCTTAAAGTGAAGACGATTGAGATCTTTCTTATTTTCTAAAATAGGTTTAAGTTTAAAGCTATAAAATTCTCAGCTGTGAGCAGTGTTTCACACCTGTAATCCCAGCACTTTGAGAGGCCAAGGTGGGAGGATCATTTGAGGCCAGGAGTTCGAGACCAGCCTGGGTAACATAGTGACACTCCATCTCTACAAAAAAAAAAAAAAAAAAAAAAAAAAAGAAGAAGAAAGAAAAAAAGAATCAGTTGGGTTTAATGGCATGTGCCTGTGGTCCCATCTACTTGGGAGGCTGAGTTGGGAGGATTGCTTGAGACTGCTGTAGTTAGCCATGATCTTGCTGCTGCACTCTAGCCTGCAAGATCCTGTCTTAAAAAAAAAGAAAAAAAAAAAAAAAGCTATAAAATTGTCTTTAGCCACAGCTTTAGCTGCATCCCATAAATTTTGACATGTTGTATTTTTGTTTTTATTCAGTTTAAGGTATTTTAAAATTTTGAGCTGGGTGTGGTGGCATATGCCTGTGGTCCCAGCTACTCAAGAAGCTGAAGCAGGAGGATCACTTGCACCAAGGAGTTCAAGGCCAGTCTGGGCAACATAGCGAGGCTCCATGTCTAAAAATAAAAATTGTATTAATGATGATAATAAATATATTTCTTAATTTTGCTTGTGATTTTTTTTTTCTTTGACCCATGGGTTGTTTGGATGTTATTGTTTGATTTTCAAGTATTTGGAGATTTCTCAAATTTCTTTTGATTGTAGATTTTAATTCTTTGTGATCAGCAAACATATTTTATATTATTTCAATCCTTCTAAATTTGAGACTTGTTTTGTGACATTGCAAATGGTCTAACCTGGACCTTAAAAAGAATGTGTATTCTGCTGTTGTTGGATGAAGTTTTCTATAGATGTCAGTTAAGTCAGTATGGTTAATTATACTGTCTAGTGTTTATACCCTTGCTGATGTTTTGTCTGGTTATTCTGTCAATTATTTAGAGTGGAGTTTTGAAGTCTTCAATTATTAATGAATTGTCTCTCTCAGTTCTGTTTCATTTGTTTTGGTGCTCTGTTGTTAGGTTGCATGTAGGTTTTTAATTATTATATTTCACTGATGACCCTTTTATCATTATAAATTGTCCCTCTTTTTCTCCAGTAATGTTTTTATCTTAAACTAAAAAGAGAATCCTTTAAAAATGATCCTGGGCTGGGCGCGGTGGCTCACGCCTGTAATCCCAGCACTTTGGGAGGCCGAGGCAGGAGGATCATGAGGTCAGGGGATTGAGACCATCCTGGCCAACATGGTGAAACCCCACCTCTACTAAAATACAGAAATTAGCTGGGCATGGTGGCGCGTGTCTGTAATCCCAGCTACTCAGGAGGCTGAGGCAGGAGAATCACTTGAACCCAGGAGGCAGAGGTTGCAGTGAGCTGAGATCACGCCACTGCACTCCAGCCTGGGCAACAAGAGCAAAACTCCATCTCAAAAAACAAACAAACAAAAAAACAAAAAAAAAGATCCTACAGTTTTATTTATTTTTATTACAATGGGGTCTTGCTATATTGCCCAGGCTGGTCTTGAACTCCTAGACTCAAGGGATCGTTCTTCCTTGGCCTCCCAGAATGCTGGGGATTACAGATGTGAGCCACCACACCTGGCCCATACCGTTCTAAATGATCATACACATATACAATCCCAGGAATTTAAATACATGTATGGATTTTTGTGACTTTCATTATAATAAAGATTCAGAAGAGTTTTGTAACCCCCTAAAACTCCCTCATGCTACCCCTTTATAGTCACCTCTTTGCCTACCTATAATCTCTGGCAACCACTGATCTGCCATCCATTCCTGTAGTTTTTTCTTTTAAAGAATGTCACTTAACTTAATAAATTGGGATGTTATATAAGTGGAGCCATACAGTATATAATCTTCCAAGACTAGCTGCTTTCACTAAGCTTGCCTTTGAGATTCATCCAAGCTGTTGCATGTATCAGTAGTTGCTTTTTATTTCAGGATATTCCATTGTGTGGATATACCAATTTGCTTATACAATCACCTGTTGAAGGACACTTGAGTTGTTGCCAGTTTTGAGTGATTGTGAATAGAGCTGCTATGAACATTTGTGTCCAGATTTTTCTGTTAATGTAAGCTTTCATTTCTCTAGGATAGATGCCCAGGTGCATGATTTCTGAGTCATAGGGTAAGTGCTTTATGAGAAACTGCCAAACCACTTTCACGAGTGACTGTATCATTTTTCGTTCTCACCAGCAATGTTGGAGAGTTCTCATTTCCCATTCTTGCCACTACATGGTATTGCCAGCATTTTAAATTTTGGCCATTTTAATAGGTGTGAGTGGGATCTTCTTATGACTTTAATTTGCATCTCCCTAATGGCTAATGGTGGTTTCAGACATCTTTCATGTATTTGCTATCTTTGTACCTCTTTGGTGGAGTGTCCTCTTTAAGCTTTAAATTTGCTATGTTAACCTTTTCTGAGAAATCTTATTTTAGGTACACTTAAAAATACAATCTTTTCTTGATAACAAAGTCATTGTATGAACTGTAATTTTCATATGGGTTTGAAATTACAGGGAAGCTAGCAATGACTATTGAGTGGTGTAAGGCTGCTTATGTCTCTTTCAGGCATTCCTTTTCTGCTGTTAGCATGCCTGATTCTGGCAGTGCTTCCACTTCCATTCGGTTTTTGGTTTACTGCTTTTATGAAATGATCATGAATAAGGCTATAAGAATCATGTTTGAAAAAAAATAGTGAAGTGCTTCTCAGTAAATTCCCCAAGAGCTCTTCTCTAAGGAAAGTACATAAACTCTGTAACATCTGTTTTAGTGCTCCTCCAAACTGGGGGCCCTGAAATTCATCTGAGGAGTCTGTGAGTGTGAATCTGTGTGTGCAGTGAGCATTGTCTATGAGCTGAATAAACAGTATTCCATGCAGTACATATTCTACTATTTTCAGAATTATATGGATGCTGTTGAACAATCTTGAGTTTGGGTAGTTTTTGTTTTTTCTTTATGTAATTTGCCTACCAACTCTTTTGCTGCTTTTTCTAGTCCGTGATGTGGTGAGTAGAATTTTTCAGATGGAGCTTTCTTGATAAGTGAGGTATTACTGTTTGTGACTAGTCAGGACAGGATGAAGTAGGCTTTTTGTTTGTGCTGTTTAACCATAGGTTATCAAATGTTCTTTACAAGGCTTATATTAATTTATTAATTTTTGATGATGTAGTATTGCATACTTTTGCTGAAAAGCATTTTGGGAAAATTAGGATACTTCAGATTCTTCAAATGATAGGGTTTATATGATTTGTCATTAACACTAATCTAACAAGTGACAAGAAAAAGTATATTCCTCAAGTTGTTATTGCATAAAAGAAACATTTAAATCATGGTTTGCAGGGTTGATTCTTTCCCACATTCATCAAGTCATTTTGATGCTTTTATTATAAATAAAACTTGATTAGTAGATTGTTAGTTTAATCAAAGATTATAAAAATAGAAAAGGAGGTGGCACGTGCCTGTAGCTACCTGGTAGGGTGAGGTGGGAGGATCACCTGAGCCTGCGGAGGTTGAGGCTGTAGTGGGCTATGATCGTGTCACTGCATTCCAGCCTGGATGACACAGTGAGACCCTGTCTCAAAAATATGTATATATCTATACAGAGAGAGAAAAGGAAACTCTTCCTATGTATGTAATTTATATAAGCACAACATCTGCTTGCGTATTGTTGACCAGATTTTTTCTCAAGTTTTTAAAGTACTTTGCTGCTTTGCATGCCTCATCCTGTCAAGCAAGTTCTTGTTTAAGGAATATGTAATTGTATCATAATATGGTAATTTGTTATGCAAATATCATATCTTAAATTATCAATCTAACAGCTTTATTTTCCTCAGTTATTTTTGGTTCTCATTTCAGGATGTGAAATAGGATAGCAATAGAAATTAGCAAAAGGAAAAAAAAGGTGATTGATGTGCTAAATAATCATTGCCCTAATTTTAGTAATGAGATATTCAGGGGTGTAATTTGTTTTGGGGGGCTTTTTTGATTTGTTTTGTTTCACATTACTTAGATTCTCAGTTTCTTCATGATATTAAAGCAAAACCTGTCTTTAAGAGCCACTGTGCAAAATTGTTTGAATGAGAATAGAAATTTAAAATCGTTTAATTGAGAAGGAGGTCATTGATATGTGTCCCACCAGAAACCAGAGATTCAGTTCCTAACCATTTTTCACTAAAATAAGCCCTAAGGTTCTTTTTTATTGAGCAATTATGCCAAATTTGTTAGAAATTAAAATCTTTGCATAAACTTCTTTAAAATATCTATTATAAACATGCTAATATTAGTTGAATTAGTCTAAACATTCCTTTTTTTGACATTTGGACGTAGTGTTTGAGTGTCATTGAGATTAACTAGATAAAGGAAGACATTGATAAGTTGAACATTAAAATTAAGAATTTCTCTTCAACAAAATAAAAATTAAGAGCAAAAAGGCAAGTTACAGAGTGGGAGGAAATATTTGCAACACATACATCCAACAGAGCACTCATAACCACAATACATAAAGAGCTACAAATCAATAAAAGCGTGACACTCCCTCCCTCTTGCCTTCCCCCAGCCAAAGATCTAAGACTTGAAGAAGCAATTCACAAAAGAAGATGCTCATTTGGACAATAAAATAAGCCTCTTAAAAGGCCCTCAAAATCATATGGTGGAAGCGCAAATTAAAGCCACAGTTGTATTATTATATTCTTACCAGTAGAACAAATGAAAAAGATAACTCCAAGTGTAGAGCAATTGGACAGCTCTGCTCGTGGAAGTATAAATTGCAACTTATACACCCTGCTAGTGGGAGTAAAATTGCTAGAACTTTTGACCCAGCAGTTCCACTACCAGGTGTACAGATACAATGGAAACACACACATCTGTGCCCCAAAGAATATGCCAAAAGTGTTTATAGCAGCATTATTTGTGCTTGCATCAAACTAGAATAGAACAAAATGTTCATCAAAAGTTAGAAGGGGGCAGGGTGCAGTGGCTCACTCCTGTAATCCCAGCACTTTGGGAGGCCAAGGCGGGCGGGTCACCTGAGATCGGGAGTTTGACACCAGCCTGACCAACATGGAGAAACCCCATCTCTACTAAAAATACAAAATTAGCTGGGCATGGTGGCGCATGCCTATAATCTCAGCTACTCAGGAGGCTGAGGTAGCAGAATTGCTTAAACCCGGGAGGCAGAGGTTGCGGTGACCCGAGATCGTGCCATTGCACTCCATCCTGGGCAACAAGAGCGAAACTCCGCCTCCAAAAACAAAACAAAACAAAAACATTAAAAGGTGCCGAGTGCAGCGGCTCAGGCCTGTAATCCCAGTACTTTGGGAGGCCAAGGCAAGAGGATTGCTTCAGCTCAGGAGTTTGAACCAGCCTGGGGAACATAGTTAGACGTCATCTCTATAAAAAATTTTAAAAATTAGCTGGGTGCAGTGGTGTGCATCTGTGGTCCCAGCTACTTGGGGGGCTGAGGTGGGAGGATCGCTTGAGCCCAGGAGTCGAGGCTACAGTGAGCCATGTTGAAGCCACTGCACTCCAGCCTGGGTGACAGAGCGAGACCCTGTCTCAAAAATAAATAAATAAATAAAAATAAATATATATGAAGAAAAAAGATAAATGGTGAAATCCTCTGTAGTATTTTGCTTTCCATAGCAACAAAGATGAAGTTCACAATGTGAAACAAAAGAAGACATAAGAAAGTGTACATATTCTCTGACCCCATTTAAATAAATTGCTTTTCCCATGTTGTAAAGTGACCATACAAAAACAGGCAGAACTAATCTGTGGTGCTGGAAGTCAAAATGGTTGTTAGCACTGGAGGTTACTGAGGACTTATGAGGGTGGCTTCTGAGGTGTTGGTAATGTTCTCTTTCCTGATCGAGTAGTAGTTACAGTGGTCGGTTCAGTTTCTGAAAGTTCTAAAAGATGTACATGTAGAATTTGTACGTTTCAGTTTTTATAAAAGCTTCATTAAAAAATTAATTGAAGTCTGGGCACAGTGGCCTCATGCCTGTAATCCCAGCACATTGGCAGGCCAAGGTGGGAGGATTGCTTGATTTCCAGGAGTTTGAGACCAGCCTGGGTCTCAAACCATGGCGAAACCCCGTCTCTACAAAATAAATAAATAAATAAATAATACAAAAATTAGCTGAGCATGTTGGCATGTGCCTATAGTCCCAACTGTTCGGGAGGCCGCGGTGGGAGGGCCACTTGAACCCGGGAAGTAGAGGCTGCTGTGAACTGCCAGTACACTCTACCCTGGGCGACATAGTAAGACCCTGTTTCCAAAAAAAAAAAAAAAAATCTTCATTGAACATAGCTTTTTTTTTTTTTTCTTCTGTGTGTCATATTGTAGCCTGGTATGCTAACAAGTAATTAGAATTCTTCAGTATTAGCCATGGTTGTTCTTAAAAACCATTTTACCTTCATGGACTGATGCTTTTATTTGGCTATTTTGGTTTTACTATCATGAGAGCCTTTGAGATACTTGAAAAAAAAAAAAAATATATATATATATATATATATATTTGAGACAGAGTCTCGCTGTGTTGCCAGGCTGGAGTGTAACCTCCGCCTCCAGGGTTTAAGTGATTCTCATGCCTCAGCCTCCCGAGTAGCTGAGACTACAGGCACATGCTACCATGCCTGGCAATTTTGTGTGTGTGTGTGTGTGTTTTTAGTAGAGACAGGGTCTCACTATGTTGGCCAGGCTGGTTTCAAACTCCTGGCCTCAAGTGATCCACCCGGCTCAACCTCCCAAAGGGATTACAGGCATGAGCCACCATGCCCAGCCTAGAATCTTGAGTATTTTAAAAGCCCAGAAACAAAAATTTTTGGCTATTAGGGTAGAGTATGTTAAATATGAAAACTTGTCAACATTTAAAACATGTTGCAGATAACTAAAATAAAATACTCTTATTCCTAGTGACCCATTTAATCCAGAGAGACTATTTTTCACCTACATTAGTGCAAATGTAGTTATGGTTTAATATACTTCTCAGTTTTATCATCCTTGTGTTCTCGTAAGACTCCTCTAACACCGTGTTCTGCCACATGTTAATGAAGTTCTTTATGTTTCTTTCCCTGTTATACTCTGATTTTCTTAAGGACAGGAGCTGCTTTTTAAATTTCTCCTAGCATAGTGCATTCCTTATATTAAATAATCAGAAAATATTATCTCCATATTTTATAAAAGACTTAGTAATAAAATTCCAGAAGTTTTGAATTCTTATGCATGTCCCCCCTTGCTGTAGGACAGTTAGTTGCAATTCTTGTATGATGTAACATGAAATTTTGTAGTCATCATGTCCCTGACCTCTATTGAAAAAATGTGCTTGATAAATTTTAGCATGATGAAGTTTGTATGTCTGAGTTTAGCTTCAAATGGTGTAGATAGTATTATTTAAAAATGGGAAGATCTGGAGTTCTTATATCTAATAGTATAGCTCATTTTATCCTAAGAACAATGCATGTGAAAGTAAATTACAAAGTTATACAACTAGAAGGTCATGATGGAATTTTCTGGCATGTTACCTGTTTTTGTTTTGATGCTGAACCCATGTGTATATTCAGTCACTTTTAAATGTTCTCTGAGTAAACTGCTGTCCTCAATAAGCTGATTATGCTGAAGAAACATTTTAAGATGCTGATTTCATTGACTTGATCATCCTTTATATTTCCAACAGTATAGGCAGAAGTAGTAGAATACATTTATTGGTTGGCAAATTCAGTTTCCTTATTTGTAAAACATTTAAAAATTTGTAGTGCATCCAGTTCAGAGTGGCTAATTGTGATTATGGTAATTGCCAAAGGTGCTTGACGCTGTAAATGTTTCACATATTTTTCTTTAATGTTTCTAGACAACCCATTTGTTGAGATTAAAACACCAAAAAAATCGTCACTGAAATTGTTAATATGTATGTATATATTTATTTACTTTTGTAAACTATGTTGGAATAATTTTATATTTACAGAAAAGTTGCAAATGTGTTAATATGTATTAAATTGCCCTGAGTGATAGTTACTTATCTAGTATTTCTCTTAAAAGTTTAATATTTTTATTTTTTTTGAGACAGAGTCTCGGTCTTGTCACCCAGACTAGAGTACAGTGGTACAATATTGGCTCACTGCAACCTCTGCCTCCTGGGTTCAAGCGATTCTTGTGCCTCAGCCTCCCAAGTAGCTGGGATTACAGGTGTGTGCCACCAGGTGTGGCTACTTTTCTGTATTTTTTGTAGAGACAGGGTTTTACCATGTTGTCCAGGCTGGTCTCAAACTCCTGGCCTCAAGCGATCTATCTGCCTTGGCCTCCCAAAGTGCTGGGATTACAGGTATGAGCCATCGCGCCCAGTCCTAAAAGTTTAATATTTTTAATAAAAATATTCTTGTCTCTGATCTTGTTCAATAAAAAAAAAATTTAAAGTTTTTGTGTTTAAATGAAAGTATGCTGTTTTCATTATCCTTTTTCCTTAAATGTCATTTTTCCTGTGCTGTAACATGACCGTTACTCACATGGAGTGCTGTGAAATGTGTATATGTAAGATTTATGTTCTGCATTTATGAGCATGAATAAACGTTACTGAATCAGAACCGTGGGGATCATTTAGTTATAGAATCAGAAATCTGGTGAAATGTTCACAGTTTCCTATTTTTATAAAACAGAGTAGTTTAAAACTGCATATGCCAGCTTTCCTCTCTCTATTCTCTACCTCCTTTTCTGTTGTAGTTATATAGTAACACGTGAGGGAAGTTGGTAAGGACCAAAAGATACCATATTTTTAAAAATAAAAGATACCTTCTATTGTAAGGCACACCATTATCTTATGTATTATTAAGGAAAAAAATGCTCTGTGAGGAATTGAGTTGAATCTGGGAAAATTTTTAAAAAAGAAAAAAATGCAGCCTTCTAAACTATGGCACATTGCTAAGATGCCAGGAAATATAAGATGCGTACTGATTTCAGTGATGTTGAAGTGAAGAAAAATGTGAATTTTAGATCCATTCCAAACATTCCTTGCTCTAACAAAATTATTTTATTTGGGGTTTAACTTGGGACTTCTACCTTTTTTAGAAGTCAGTAGAGAATCATTCATTTGAACTCTGGCTTTTTGCTAAAATGCTGTTGGAGACGTGTTCTAATCAGTATGTCTGATTTTAAGAAGATATGAAAATTTTTAATGAAGGATCACTTTTGTAGACAAATTTGAGTGCTTTTTGGGAGCAATGAAAAGCCATGTTGTGCTTCATGTAACCTGAGTTCTTGTGTTATGTGGCCTCCAAGAGCCATTTTGTAGTTTTCATTCTCCTTTGCATTTTCATTGTTTCTCTTTACTGACCATTCACTTTCCTTAATATTTTGTAGTTTAAAAAACTTTTCTCAACCTTGATTCTTTTCCAAACTATCACCGTTCTTTCATTCTTTGCCCAGGTGATCAACAATTTATTTCCCCGCATTGCCTGGGTCACTCACAGATACTTCCCCACCTCATTTATTTAATAAGCAGTTCTCTGTGTAAGATCTGTGTCTCTACCATTTTGCTGAAGTGCCTCTCTCTTAGGTCCTTAGTAGCTTTCTAAGTTTCTAAAGCTGGTGACCTCTTTTTATTTCATTTGTGAAAACTTACCGTTACTGCTGTCTAACATTGGGATCTCACAGCTCTCTCTTTCTTCTTTTTTTTTTTTTTTTAGCACTGTCGCTATAGGTTTTTGTCTCTGTGTCAATCTTGTTATCCCATGATGCCTAGATTTTGTTTCATCTACTTTATTATTAAAATAATATTGAAAAATAAAATGCTCCATAAATGTATCACTCCAATATAATACTTATTTGAACTTTGAGTTTTTCCATCTTTGTCTTGGCCTAGCTTTTCATTCTTTACCTAGTGTACTTTTAATCTTGGTAGGTATATTACAAGTTGAACATCTCTAATCCCAAAATTGGAAATTTGAAGTGCTTTAAAATTTAAAACTTTTTGAGCACCAACATGATGCCGCACGTGGAAATTTCCACACCTGACCTGATGTGACAGTTTGCACTTCATTGATGTTTCGGTGTACACAAACTTTGTTTTGTGCACAAAATTATTGAAAATATTGTATGAAATTACCTTCAGGCTATGTGTATAAGGTGTATATGAAACATAAATGAATTTTCATGTTTAAACTTGGGTCCCATCCTTAAGATATCTCATTATGGATATGCAAATATTCCCCCCCCCCAAAAAAAAAATCCCCACGAAAACGTAAATTCTGAAATGCTTCTGGTCCCAAGCATTTTGGATAAGGGATACTCATCCTGTATTCTGTTTTCCACCTTAACATGGTATCAGTTATTTTTCCAGGTTTGCACACGTTGTCCCATTATTGTCACATGAAAGAACAAAAAATTATAGGTTATAGTTTTGTTGCACCATAATTTTCTATATATGTCTATTGTTGGATAATTGACTTGTTTCCAGATTATTTGTGTTTTGCTTCAAAAACATTGTAGTAGAATGTATATTTGTTCCTATAACCTTTTGCTTCTGTTGTATTATTTACATAAGATCCTTTTCTGGGAGTGCCATTAATTACTTGTCCAAGCAAATACATATATATATATTTTTGGAGACAGAGTTTTGCTCTTTTTGCCTAGGATGGAGTGCAGTGGCGTGATCTCGGCTCACTGTGACCTCTGCCTCACAAGTTCGAGTGATTCTTGTGCCTCAGCCTCCCAAGTAGCTGGGATTACAGGGGCGTGCCACCACACCTGGCTAATTTTTGTACTTTTAGTAGAGACGGGGTTTTACCATGTTGGCCAGACAGGTCTCGAACTCTTGACCTCAGGCGATCCACCCGCCTCAACCTCCCAAAGTGCTGGGATTACAGGTGTGAGCCACCGTGCTGGGCCAAATGTACAAAATATTATTTTGCTAATTTAGTAGTTGTACAATGATGGTACTTCATTTTTGCTTTAATGTTTATTTTTTTGATTGTTAAGGGTATTTTTACATGTTTAATATGGAATTTATATTTCTCTATGAATTCTCTCCATATTATTATCTCACATTTATCTATTTTGTAATCTTTTTTTTTTTTTTCCTTTTTTTTCTTCTTTGACACAGGGTCTCGTCTTGTTGCCCAGGGTGGTCTGGAACTCCTGGGCTCAAGCGTTCCACCCACCTCTGCCTCCCACAGTGCTGGGATTACAGGCGTGAGCTACCTTGCCTGGCCTGTTTTGTAGTCTAATGCAAAAGCCATAGCAGAGGTACCTATTTTATATTGTAGAATTTCTAAATTATGTTCTTTTTAAGCCAAATGTGCAGAGATATTACGCTTATTCACAGTCTGATGGCTTTTGCAGTGTAATGCCTTAAATTCTTGCCTTCTAGGTTAAATGGGCCTTTTTGCTCTCCTCATGACATAAAAATTTAGAGGAAAACTTGGTAACTTTTTCACTTTATTAACTGATCATTTTTGTTAATATGACAGCACAACGTACTCTCATAGAGTGCAGCAGTTGGAGGGAAATTTTGTTGTTGATTTGTGCCTAATTTTTTTTTCCCGCCTGTTTGTTTCATTTGAAAGTGTTTTTAACATGTAAGATGAATTTTGTCATATGATAATTCTGGTCAATGAAAAATGTCTTCCAAGACCTTGATACAGCATTTACATTGACAGTAATTAAGACACTCATCTTTCTGTGTTAACCTTAATCAATTGATGTGTAGTTCAGTTTCGTGGGTAGTTTAGACTTGAATTTGGTTGTTAAGTAGATTACTTTACAGTGGACCATGATCTCTTTCTATGGCTGGAGTGTCACAACTGAATGAATTTTTGCTGTAATCTGTGCACCATCAATTTAACTCATTTTGAAATCTGTCTTGACCATCTTACTCCTTGTACTTCCTTTCTCTTACTGTTACTTACTTACCTTTCAGTTTCTCATACTGACTTGAATTATGGTTATTTCCTAAAGTTCCTTCATTATTGCCATTTCCTTTTAATATATTCTTTTTTTGTGAACTCAGTCTTCTTTCATTTTAACATATGTCAAGCTCCCCTAAAGCTATAACTCTAGCCCTGTCAGCCTTCTCTTACCAGCCAGAGGTCTGTGTTTTCAGCTCCTCTCTTGACTCCATCATTCTGCAGCGGACTCACAAACTTAAGTGCCTGCAGGGGCCTGGCAAACAATGGCAATGAGTAAAAGCAGGCCTTGGGATAAGAGGAAATATTTTTCTACTGTAAGAAAAAAAGAGGGCAAGTGGGACGATAGAGGGTAACCGGCATAAGCTCAAGGTGAGGAAGACAGTCTTGGGGACTGTGGAGAGGAGGAGAATGCCTGTTTCATGCTGGCCATTTGGCTCCAGCCACCATTGCTGTTTGGGAATGTGGCCTCAAAGCTATCAGATCTACCAGTTTTTCAAGAGAAGCTGTTAATCTGTATTTTCATTTTAAATACATGATTTTAAAAAATGGAATTGAATTTCTGTAAAACACTCCATGGGTCAAGGAAAATATGCTCATGGACAAAGTTCTATATACAGGCTCTTAATTTGTAATCTCCTCCAGTAAAGGTGGCACTTTAAGTTTGGTATGTTACTAACTATCCCTCCCCATTTTTCTCTTGTTTCTTTGTTCATATAATAGACCATCCATTCAGCTTCTTAACACCTCCTCACCTCATTACTTCTTTATTTGGAAAAGGGATCTGGGTCATGGGAAAGGCTTTTTCTAATTTAAAGGAAGTTTGTACATGTTTATAAGCCGAAGAGAAGCCAAAGAAGTGATTTTGGAAAGAGAGAAGATACTAGAACATGGTATGTCCACTGGGGATGGCATCCAGGGTAGAGAAGCCAGCCACAGAGTTCCAGGAGCTGATGCTGATTCACCTTGCATACTTTTATTTCCGAACAAATATGTTTTAACCAAAAAGTTTTCTTTTTTCTTTTTATGCATATCATGTTTCCTTGAATTTCTTGAGGGAATTTATTATACTTTAAAAAACATAGTCTTTGTTTTTTGTATGAATTTTTTTTAGGTATTCTTGAGTTCAGTACTCCTTTTCATGTTGCTGATTTTCATGGGATGAGTAGCGATTGTCATAGATTTATTTGTAGTAAGTGGTAGAACTAAAAAGTTGAATTCAGCTTTGCTGTAAAGACTTTTATTCACCTGGTAGTGCATGTAGACTGTTATTACAGAAGCCATGGTGAGTGTACCCTGTTGAGTAGTGTAGATTTTCCCATAAGATGTGTGAGTTTTAATTCCCTGGCTCACCATCCAAGGCCTGCTGCTTCTCCCAGAATCGGCTGACATGGTTAGTTATTCCTGGATTCTGCTAGGAAAATTTATTTGAAGGTCCGTCCTCTTACTTGTAACGAGTTACAGTTCTCTTGGCCCTATGGGGTTTGTCCTCGTGCTGTTTCCATATGCTTTCTGTTTCTCAGAATTTTTCACTGGTCTGGTCTGCTGATATCATCTATATTGGGATTTCCTGTACTTCCTGAATTTCTGTTTTTATTTTCTTATTAAGTTGAGATAGGATGGAAAAAAGGTAAATTTTTAGGTTGTATTTAAAAACAAAATCTTTCAACAAATTTGAACATCTAATTGGTTTCTATTAGTTATTCATGAACTGGGAAGCATACGTCTACAAATTTGGAGCTCCATTGTGCATGGCAGAACAATTGTTTTTTTGTAAGGTAGCATGAGCAATATCAAGGAAACAAGCTGGGCACGGTGGCTCACGCCTATAATCCCAGCGCTTTGGGAGGCTGAGGCCAGTGGATTGCTTGAGGTCAGGAGTTCTAGACCAGCCTGGCCAACATAGTGAAACTCTGTCTCTACTAATAATACAAAAAATTAGCTGGGTGTGGTGGCAGGTGCCTGTAATCCCAGCTACTAGGGAGGCTGAGGCAGGAGAATTGCTTGAACCCGGGAGGCGGAGGTTGCAGTGAACTGAGATCACGCCATTGCACTCCAGCCTGGGCAACAAGAGTGAAACTCCATCTCAAAAAAAAAAAAAAGAAAGAAAAAAGAAAGAAAGCTCAAGCAAACAGTACAATATAAAAGAGCAGATTTGTTAACATCAGGTTATTTCAGGTTACTTTTCTTTTAAGGGTTAAAGCAGAAGAGACAGGAACTTCCGTATCATGCCAGTTCAGGTTGACTGGGCTCTTCTGGATTGGTTTCTGTGAATCTCCTGGGTTTTTTTGGAAACACTGGCCTGTTTGGGATTTATCTGTTAATAAAGTTTCAACTTGACACAAGTGCCCCCACTTTGATCTGGCCTGCTGGAGCCTAATGCAGAAGCTCAGTTCAAAACAGTGGCCTCCTGTAAATTTTATTTAACAGTTCTTGGCAACTTTGAACCAAAAATCTTTTCTCTTTATACAGCTTGCTTTTTTGTTTCTGCTCATGCTAGTTCCCCTTAATCCCCCCCACCTTTTTTTTTTTTTTTTTTTTTTTTGTGAGATGGAGTTTCACTCTTGTTGCCCAGGTTGGAGTGCAGTGGCACGATCTTGGCTCACGGCAACCTCTGCCTCCCAGGTTCAAACAATTCTCCTGCTTCAGCCTCCCAAATAGCTGGAATTACAGGTGCCCGCCACCACGCCCAGCTAATTTTTTGTATTTTTAGTAGAGACAGGGTTTCATTATGTTGGCTGGGCTGGTCTCAAACTCATGACCTCAGGTGATCCACCCAGGTCGGCCTCCCAAAATGCTGGGATTACAGGTGCGAGCCACCACGCCTGGCCTAATCCCCTTTCTTTATGTACAAATCTCAAACATAATATACTATTTACTGTTAATATGTCTGTGACATTGCTCATAAGATTATCTGGCATAGAATGTTTTTGCCCTATTGTTTTGCCTGGGAATTATTGCCAGGGGTGCATATAGCTCAGTAACTCAAATCAGGGCCCAGTACCACTTCATAGCTGTGTCACTTTTGTGAATTGTGTATTTAGCTCCTCCATCCCTCCTGAGAATTATGGATAATAATAGTATGTGCCAGTTAATGTTGGTATGAACCAATCGATGAGACAGTCAAAGTAAAACATCTGGGACATAGTCCTGAAACATTATTAGCTTAAAATGGTTGAGTGAATAAGTACGGGCCTTGACAGCTCAGCTCAGGTGTGGCATTCCATTTCACTTTGCCTGATTTTCTTCCAGCCCTCCTCCCCTTTCCCCAGATCCCACATCAGAACTAATGTTACCCTGTCTTTCCCTGAAATGTTTTTCATACAGAGAGTTTAGTATACTTACCATTGATCTACTTTTCTTTTAGTTAGTTGGGGATTATTTCAGTCATTATGTATGATCTTTCAGTAAACAAGGGATGCCTTTGTTCCCCAGGTGAATTGAATTAAAGTGCCTTTTTCCTTGTATGACTTCAAATTTAAAAACCTTTAAAACTCACAGTGTTTCCCATGTTGCCTAGTGTGACATAAGAAGTATATGTTTAGTCTCTGACCTGGGTTCCTGGCACAGATCTAAAACTTCTAAAACTTCTTGACTGATAGGGTATGACAGGAGCATTTTCAGCCCCCCTCCCCCGCCTTTCCTTTTGAGACAGGGTCTCACTGTTGCCCAGGCTGTAGTAGAGTGGTGTGAACACAGCTCACTGCTGCCTCTACCTTCTGGACTCAAGCAATTCTCCCACCTCAGCCTCCCTAGTAGCTGAGACTACAGGCGTGGGCCACCATGCCTGGCTAAATTTTTTATTTTTTTTTTGCAGAGTTGGGGTCTCACTTTGTTGCCCAGGCTGATCTTGAACTCCTGGGCTCAAGCAATGTGCCCACTTTTACATCCCAAAGTGTTGGGATTGCAGGCATGAGCCATTGCTCCTGGCAGGAGCATCTTTTGTTACAGTATTTGGTCTTAGTCCTTGGTTCCTGACACAAGAGCTTCGAAGACCCTTGACCTCTCAGGAGTGATAAGAGTGTCTTTTTGTATATTAATACGATGACTAGTGGTTGAAAACCCCTGAACCGCTTTGGAATGGGGACTGGTTTCCTGGGTAATCAGTCATGTGAGTAGAGGTTTGGAACTTTCCATCCCATCCCGTTAGCTCCATGGAGGAAAGATGGGCCGGAGGTTTAGAGAGTTTTCCAGAAAACTCTTCAAAAGGACAGCCTCAGAGAGCTCCCGGGTTGGTGAACACATTTAGGTGCTGTGCCCCGAGAGGGCTTGCCTCCTCCCTTACCCCACGATATGCATCTTCCATTTGGCTGTTCCTCACTTATATCTTTGTAAAAAACTGGCGAACAGAAGTACCTGTTTTCTGGAGTTTTGTGAGTCCTTCTAGGAAATTCTCAAACTCAAGGAGGGGGTCATGGGAAACTCCCTTCCCACCTCCCACGCAATTTATTTTCTGTAGGTAAGAAATACCTGAGGCCTGGACTTGATGGTTAGCGTCTGAATTAGGAACAGCCTTGTGGGATCTAAGCTATGAGGACTAAACTCTGACCTTTTTGTCTCTTGCCCAAATTCCTACAGGGGTCTGGGAAGTCACTCTCTCTAAATCATAAAATCTCATCAACTGGGTTTTACTTAACCAGCCTGACTGGCATAACATCACATGACAGATAAAGGAGGAAATGGAAATATTTTACGTTAAAATATGTTCTTTCACGAGGTCAGGAGATCGAGACCATCCTGGCTAACATGGTGAAACCCCGTCTCTACTAAAAATACAAAAATTAGCTGGGCATGGTGCCACGTGCCTATAGTCCCAGCTACTCGAGAGGTTGAGGCAGGAGAATTGCTTGAACCCAGGAGGCGGAGGTTACAGTGAGCTGAGATCGCGCCACTGCACTCCAGCCTGGCGACAGAGCGAGACTCTGTCTCAAAAAAAAAAAAAAAAAAGGTTCTTTGCCATATTTTGACATGGCCCTGCAATGCCATCTTTTGTGTGTGGGGGGAAGCCGGGGTTGGGGGGGTTGGGAGGGGGGTGGGAATGTGCATCTATAAAGAATCTCTGTTAACTAGATCTTTCCCCTTCCAGGCCCTCCCTATCCTGAAGACATTAGCTGAGAGTCTGGCACCTTTTAAAGGTCTGATCATCAATTGTCTCTCTGGGCGGCCACCTATGAGACTTCATCTGTGTGGTAAGAACTTTTGTCTCCATAGCTCCTTATCTTAACTCAGACACTCCTTTCTGTTTATTCCAGTTCTTTAGATAGTAACTCCTTCAACCAATTGCCAATCAGACTTTGAATCCACCTGAGACCCACTTCCCCCAACCCCCTCAAGTTGTCCCACCTTTCCAGATCGAACCAATGTATACCTCACATATACTGACTGATGTCTCGTGTCTCCCTAAAACTAAGCTGAAACCCAACCACCTTGGGCACGTATTCTCAGGACCTTTTGAGACTGTGCCTCAGGCCATGGTCACTCATGTTTGGTTCAGAGTAAATCTTTTCAAGTATTTTACAGAGTTTGGCGTTCTTCATCAATAGCTAACTCCAGGTAGACAGTATCACCGTAGAATTGAACTGTAAGACATCTGGTTGGTGTCTTGGTGTCTGCCAAGAATTGGACACTTGGTTGTTGTGGAACTCCCCATTCCCTATTTGATGATTTGATGTTGGAATTTGTTGGTGTGTGTAGAAGAAACATAGTGTTTCTTTTTACCTAGTGTATCAGTCAGGGTTCTCCAGAGTGTGTGTGTTTATAAATACAAATATATTTATATGTGTAAAGAGAGAGACAGACATACAGACATGGAAATAGATATTGACCGATTTTTGTTTTGTTTTGTTTTAGAGGCAGGGTCTCGCTCTGTTGCTTAGGTTTGTGTGCAGTGGTGCAGTCATAGCTCACTGTAACCTCAAATTCGTGGGCTTAAGGGATTCATTCTCCTACCTCAGCCTCCCAGGTAGCTGGGACTAAAGGCACGTGCCACCGTGCCTAGCTAATTTTTAAATTTTTCTATAGAAATGGGGTCTTGCTATGTTGCCTAGGCTGGTCTCAAACACCCGAGCTCTAGTGATCCACCTAGGCTTCCCAAAGGACAGGGGTTACAGGAGTAAGCTACTGAGACTGGCCTGACTGATTTCAAGAAAGAAATTGGCGAGTAAGCCAATTAGGGATGACAGTTAGGGATGGCAAGTTAGAAATCTGTAGGTCAGGCTAGAAACTCGCAGATAGATGTTGATGCTGCGGTCATGACGCAGAACTTCTTCCTTGGGAGTCCTCCGCTGTTGCTCTAAAGGCCTTTCATTACCGGCGGCGAATCCGTACGGGTCTGCAGCAACCTCAATTCTTGCCTCCTCAGAAGAAAAAAATTGACTGAGGGGCATAAGGCAGAAGAAGAGACCGAGGCAAGTTTTAGAGCAGGAGTGAAAGTTTATTAAAAAGCTTTAGAGCAGGAACAAAAGGAGAGAAAGTACACTTGGAAGCGGTGCAGTATCTGCAAAGATACTGAGGGTGACTTGAAGGACAAGTGTGGGGTTTGACCTTTTGACTTGGGGTGTTATATGTTAGCATACTTCCAGGGTCTGGCGTCCTTTCTGCCCTGATTCTTCCCTTGGAGTGGGTTGTCTGTATGCACAGTGGTCTGTTAGTGCTTGGAGGGGAGCATGTGCAGTGTGTTTACTGGAGTTGTACATAACGCTTGCCTGAGGCATTCTTCCCTTACCAGCAGAATGTCCCTAGAAGGTCATACTCTGCCATTTTGCCTCTTAATGCACATGCTTGAGGTTATTCACCCACCCATTGAGAACTTATTAGGAAGCTGCTGATCACCAGTTTCAGGTGTTTCCTATCTATAGGGAGACTACCTTTCCCTGGTGCTGCCTGCAACTTATTGTTATTTTAGTGAGGCGGTGTGACAACTGCCTGTCCACCACTTGATGGTTGCCTAACTTTCCTGGGAGTGTGGGGGCCCAGTCCTGCCCTATTTGTGTCTGACTAGCTGCCCTCTCTGACACTCTGATGAGGCCCACCCACATTGTGGAGGATAATCTTCACTTAAAGCAATTGAAGGTAGATGTTAGCCCCCTCTAAAGAATACCTTCTCAGCAACACCTAGATTAGTGTTCTATTAAATAACTGTCCACGTTAACATATAAAACTAACCATCACACCTAGTGTGCTCTCAACCAGTGTAAAAGACACTGTGTGCTAAGGATTATATCAATAGATTTTAGACTATAGATGCTGATGTCATCAAACATCCAAATGAATGTTTGTGCTTCGAGTTCTCAAAAACATTTCTGTTCTTAGTGACAGGAGAGCATGTATGGTGATGGAGAGTTCTGTGCATGTTTATCCTACTTGTCTGAGGAGGCTGTTCTCCCCCATTTTGAGTAGTTAAATATGAAAGTTATGATTTGAGCCTCTTTCCTTCATGCTTATGTTTAGTGAAAAGATCTGTATATTGGCTAAATTCCAAAAATTTCATAAAGAACCTGATTATTTAGAATTCAGGCCAAATACACAGTTGTTACTGTAGAGAGGAAAGCAAACATTGCTTTCTGATTTATTCAGAGTGCTCTGAAGGAGAGAATGGAGAATTCGTGTAGCAAAATTACGGCTTAATAAATTCAGTGACTGCTAAGCTGATACCCTTAGTACATACCCTTGAGAATGAAAACTAATGGTTTGCTGAAACATATCTCTAGTGTATTCTATAGCAATTCATTTTTTCTGTTAACCTGTATAATTGCTTCTTACATAAGTAAAGATGTCACCTCTACTTAAAATGAAAATCTCTTCTATGGGCTATGGAATTGCTCATTTTGAAATAGTGCTGTTAGAAAGCAAACAATGAATTAGAGCTGAATCAGCTAGAACTGTCACTTGATGTCTCTATGTAACTTACCATCTGTTTTAAAGATTTCGTACATACTGTAACCCACATAATATGGTCCATAATATTCTAAATTCTGAACATTATTATATAATATTTCTTTTTTTTTGAGATGGAGTCTTACTCTGTCTCCCACGCTCTACTGCAGTGGCGCGATCTCAGCAACTTCTACCTCCTGGATTCAAGCCATTCTCCTGTCTCAGCCTCCCAAATAACTGCTACTACACGCACATGCCACCAGGCCCAGCTAATTTTTTTGTTGTTGTTTAGTAGAGATGGGGTTTTACCATGTTGGCCAGGCTGGTCTTGAGCTCCTGACCTCAAGTGATCCGCCTGCCTCAGCCTCCCAGAGTTCTGGGATTACAGGCGTGAGCCACCAAGCCTGGCCTATTATATAGCATTTAAACCCAAGAAAAGTAGATAGTTATCTTTGATGCCAAATTTAACTGTTTACTTTATGATGTTTTCAAACTGTTAAAATGTGTTAACTTTAAGTGGTATAAAGAACCCTTTGCTTTAAGGGTGGTTACTAGGCCTCTAAGTGCACCTCACTCTAACTTGGATCAGGTCAGCTTGGCAATGGTGACACCAGTGCTGATTGAAATCAGACGCATCATGGATAGAACTCTAAGCATTCTGCTCATGTGATGTTGTTTTTGGTTTTGTTTTAAAATCCAGTTATATTGATTTGAAGAGTTTAATTATTTTGGTTGAAATTATGCTGTTCTTAAATACATACATATTTAAACAAATTGATACACTCTACTTGATCTGAGCCTGAGAGAAACAATCTCACCTGTCCCTGTAGCTGAGTAATAAAATAGCAGGATTTTTTATTAACCTTTTTTTCTGAGACAGGGTCTTGCTTTGTTACCCATGCTGGAGTGCAGTGACACCATCGTAGCTCACTGCAGCCTTGACCTTCTGGGCTCAAGTAATCCTCCCACCTCAGCCTCCTGAGTAGCTGGGACTACTGGCATGTGTCACCATGCTTGGCTAATTTTTAAATTTTTTGTAGAGATGAGGTCTCCCTGTATTGCCCAGGCTGGGCTCAAGCAGTCTTCCTGCCTCAGCCTCCCAAATTGTTGGGATTATAAGTGTGAGACTTACTTTTTTTAAAAATGCCTTTTTTTTTTTGGCTGGGTGTGGTGGCTCACGCCTGTAATCCCAGCACTTTGGGAGGCTGAGGCAGGCGGATTGCTTGAGGTGAGGAGTTTGAGACCAGCCTGGCCAACATGGCAAAACCCCATCTCTACTAAAAATACAAAAGTTGGCCTGGTGTGGTGGCGGGCGCCTGTAATCCCAGCTACTCAGGAGGCGGAGTCAGGAGAATTGCTTGAACCTGGGAGGTGGAGATTGCAGTGAGCTGAGGTTTCATCGTTGCACTCCAGCTGGGGCAACAGAACGAGACTTTGTCTCAAACAAACAAACAAAACAAAAACATTTTTTTTTCTTTTAAAAAACCACAGTGTGAATGGTGCTTTCTCAAGAGTTTTAATTGAAGTTTGGGAATGTAAGTACCTTCTTATAAATAAAAATGACATCTATGGTTTTGTTTTATTTCGTTTAATCTAGTGTGTGCCATGGACTCACTGTCATTTTCAAAACTGGGGGATCACATTATTGTATCTTGGTGGACATAATTGTATATGTCTTGGAAACATCTAGAATACCTAGTACAAAACTTTTGGGAAGCTTTTAATGACTATTAAGTGATACTGGCCCAGTCTTCAGTAAGCTTGTAATGTAATTAAAAAAATTTTTTTTGGTTTATTACAAATTTATTTCGGCATAGGTACTGAGGGACATTGTCCCCTTGAGTTTTTTCACTTGATGCATTTAACATCATGGTTCACTGATTTTCCTGCAAACAAAACCACATTCTGTTTTCTTATTTTACTGTTGGAATTTGAGTTGTTTGCAGTTTTCTGTGGGTATAAACAATTATATGTGTCTCCGGGCGACACGTCTCTCAGTGAACATAAATTTAAGAGTGAAATTGCTGGATGGTAGGATATGCCGTACCATCTGCCTACCTAACATCTTGACTGCCTTTCAAAGTGATTGTACCAATGTACATTCCCACCAGAGCATCTGAATGTTTCCATTGCCCCACAGCTTTGCCACATTCTTGACATTGTTTGACTTTTTAAATTTAGTCAAGCTAGTAGTGTGAAAGGTGCTTTTCATTTATATTTTCCTAATTACTAAGGAAGGAAACTGAGCATCATTTTTTTGTATTGAAGGACTTTTTGTATTTTGTAACTTTTATATATTTTTCTCTCGGATTGTTTATCTTATACATTTATAAGAGTTATATACTCTGGATACTTATATTTTGTTGATATGATTTTTAATTTGTGGCTTATCTTTTTATTTTCTTCATGGTATCCTTTAATGAACAGAAGTTTTTTATTTTAACATAGAATGAGGCGAGCTGCAGTGGCTGGACGGACACAGTGGCTCACACCTGTAATCCTTCCACTTTGGGAGGCTGAGGCGGGTGAATCACTTGAGCTCAGGAGTTAGAGACCAGCCTGGGCAACATGGCAAAACCTCATTTTTACAAAAAATACAAAAATTAGCCAGGTTTGATGGCTCACACGTGTAGTTTCAGTTACTTGGGAGGCTGAGGTGGGAGGATTGCTTGAGCTTCAGAGGCGGAGGTTGTAGTGAGCCAAGATCATACCACTGCACTTCAGCCTAGGCAACAGAGGGAGACTGTCTCAAAAAAAAAAAAATTGTATTTTATTTTTTAAATGCAAGTCTTTAGTTAAGTTGGGATTTATTTTTATATAGAGAGTAGAACAGGAATCTAGTTTAATTTCCCTCCACATGCATAAACACATTTGCAAGTACCATTATTAAATAATTCAACCTTTCTCCATTAACCTGGAAGTCTTACTGTGTTATAATTAATAGTTGGTATGGCAGATCCCCTCATTACTGTTGTCTTCATGTGTAGTATCTTGATTTTTCTTGGGCTTTTGATTTTTCATGTGAACTTCACATATAGTCAGCTTGTGAAGTTTTTTTCTTTTTCTTTACTTTTTGTTACTAGTATTGGCACCATTGATTGGAATTTGTCGAGTTTTTAAAATGTCCTGCTGGATGTAGTGGTTCACGCCTGTAATCCCAGCACTTTGGGAGGCTGAGGCTGGCAGATCACTTGAGCTCAGGAGTTCAGCACCAGCCTGGGCAACATGGCAAAACACTGTGTATTAGTCTGTTTTCATGCTGCTGATAAAGACATACCTAAGACTGGTAAGAAAAAGAGGTTTAATTGGACTTACAGTTCTACATGGCTGGGGAGGCCTCAGAATCATGACGGGAGGCAAAAGGCACTTCTTACATGGCGGCGGCAAGAGAAAATGAAGAAACAAAAGTGGAAACCCCTGAAAAACCCATCAGATCTCTTGAGACTTACTCACTATCACAACAATAGCATGGGAAAGACCAG
This sequence comes from Homo sapiens, assembly GCF_000001405.40. NCBI lineage: Eukaryota > Metazoa > Chordata > Mammalia > Primates > Hominidae > Homo > Homo sapiens. The sequence continues at coordinate 71,519,014 of NC_000014.9, forward strand.
CCCCCATGATTCAATTACCTTCCCGGGGTCCCTCCCACAACACGTGGAATTCTGGGAGATACAATTCAAGTTGAGATTTCAGTGGGGACACAGTCAAACCATATCACCCCATCCCTACAAAAAACTAGAAATATTACCCGGTCGTGGTGGCATGCACCTGTAGTCCCAGCTACTTGGGAGGCTGTGGTGGGAGGATCACTTGAGCCCAGGAGGTTGATGCTGCAGTAGTGAGCTGTGATTGCACCACTGCACTTCAGCCTGGGCAACAGAGTGAGAACCTGCCTCAAACAAAAACAAAAACCCTCCTAATAAAATCCTATGGATGTAGATATATGTGTAGATGTATAACACACATGCATTTATATTCCCTAGCACTGCCATTGACAGTGCCTGAAAGTATCCCCCAATAACAATGAACATATCTGGCACCCTAATCTTGATTTCTAAATACAATTCTCTAATAAAAGGAACCAGTACTCCTTGGAGAAATGAGACCAAAACATGTAGTTTCAGAAAATGAGGAAATGATTGCCAGATACAGCAGCTCATGCTTGTAATCCCAGCTACTTGGGAGGCTAAGGCTGGAAAATTGTTTGAGGCTGGGAGTTTGAGACCAGCCTGGGCAACATAGCAAAACCCTACCTCTAAACAAATAAATTAAAAAAAAAAATAGCCAGACATGGTGTCACACACCTGTAATCCTAGCTACTCAGGAGACTGAGGCAGGATTATTGCTTGAGCCCAGGAGTTTGAGTGAGTTATGATCATACCACTGCACTCCAGCCTGGGTGACAGAGTAAGACCTAGTCTCTTATGGAAAAAAAAGATTGATTGATTGACTGATTGATTATAATAGTGATTAATTATAGTAAACAATAATAGTAATGGATTATAACCCACTGAATAAATTGATGAATAACATAAATGTAAGAATGAATAAATGATTAGCTGGTTGTGGTGGCAGCACACACCTATAATCTTAGCGGCTGAGGACAGAAGGATTGCTTGAGCCCAGGAGATCGAGGCTGCAGTGAACTGTGATTGCACCACTGCACTCAAGCCTAGGTGACAGAGCAAGACCCTGTCTCAAAAAAATGAAAAAACAAATTTTTTTTAAATAATGAAATGCCGTTAATTGAAAGCTTGATGAGGTACCAGATATTTATATAGTTTCAGATTACCTCCATATGAAATACTTACTAATTACAAAGGGGGAAAGAATAAATTACAGTGGTGGAAGCCTGGCAGATACCACCTTAATCAGTTCATCAAAATGAACATCATTGGTAAGAATACAAATCAAAATTGTTTGTCACTGATAGGATGCCATGAGAACACAGTATTCTTTCTGTGATATTCTTGCTAGTGTTTTTGCTTATTATTTATTTTTAAATAAATGTTATTTTGAAGTATGATATACACACAGAGCACAGATCATAAGTGGATAGGTCAGTGAATTTCAAAAATTGGACTCATCTATGAAACCAGTCCCGAGATCAAAAAAATGAAGTGTCACTCTGGAAGCCCCTGATGGGACTCCTGCGAGTTATAGCAGTGATTAGTTTTGCCTGGTGTTGAACTTTCTGTAAACGGAATTAGGTAGTGTATACTTTTGTATATGGCTTTTTTCTTTCAGCATTACATGCATGATAGTTCATGTTACAGGTAGCAATATTTCATTACTTTTATTGTTACAGTATTCCGTTATATGGAACTCCTCAATTATTATTTTTCTTTCCTTATTATTATTTATTTTTGACACAGGGCCTCACTCTGTCACCCAGGCTGGAGTGCAGTGATGTGATCTCAGCTCACTGCAGCCTCCATCTCCCAGGCTCAGGTGATCCTCCCACCTCAGCCCCCCGAGTAGCTGAGACTACAGGAATGCACCACCATGTTTGGTTAATTTTTTAATTTTTTTGTACGGATGGGGTTTCGCCATGTTGGCCAGTCTGGTCTCGAACTCCTGGACTCATGCAGTCTGCCTGCCTCAGCCTCCCAAAGTGCTGGGATTACAGGTGTGAGCCAGTGTGCCCAGCCTAGCTTTTCTTTCTGCTGTGGATGTGCACTGCAGTTGTTTTCAGTTTTGGGCTATTAGGAATTGCACTGCTATGAACATCCTTGTTTATGTTGTAGGGGAGAAAGATTTCTTTTTCTTTCCAATGGCTAGGTACATGGCTGACATCCTATCACAAAAGACAGATTAACAAGAGAGAAGCATACGAATTTATTAATATAAGTTTTACGTGACACAGGAATTTTCAGGAATTAAGACCCAAAGAAGCAGGGACATCTCTGTATTTTTATGCTAAATTTGATGATGAGTGGACAGTTGTGCAGAAGTCTGATTGGGCAAAGGGAGTATGAGGCAGTGGTAATAAACTAGGCCTATTTGTTCAGCTGCTCCATGTCCCTGTGTCTTCAGAGATAAGGGCATTCCTTTCCTGCAGGTATAGGGAGGGTATCTGTGGAATGAAGGTCTTATGACCTACTTCAGAGGAAGGCTAGAGAATTCTTTTATGGCCTACTTCATAGTAGAAGGACAGGAGAAGGTTGCTTCTGTGGTTTTCTCAAATGCTAAGATGCCATATTTTGCAGTAGCATGTGCTGAACCCCATTAGTGTCTTTTGCTACAAATATGTGTCCATTTATGCTGGCTGTCTACCTAGGTGTGAAATTGCTGAGTTATAGCATATGCCTATGTTCAACTTTAATAGATGCTGCCAGTTTTCCAAAGGAGCCGTATCAGTTAACACTGCTACCAAAGGTGTAAGAGAGTCCCATTTGCTCCACATTCTTAGTGACATGGTTTTAATTTCAGCCATTCCAGTGGGTAGGTAGTAGTACCACATTGTGATTTATTTATCATGACTAATGGGGTCAGTCATCTTTCATCTGACTGTTAACCCTTTATTTGGTTGTCATCTTTTGTGTGGTATCGCCATTCATCTGCTTTTTAAGTCTGTCATCTGGGATCATTTTCCTGCTGTGCAAAAGTCATATAATTTATTGTGTGTCTGTTGATGGTAAAATCTTGGTTTTGTTTGCCTGAAAATGTTTATTGTTCTAGAAGGAATTATCTCTAGCTATATAATTCTGGGTTGATAGTTCTCTCTCTTAGTTTATTGAAAATAATAGTTCTCTCTGTCTTGTGGCTTCCATTGTTGCTTTTGAGAAATAAGTCATCACCTTAATTGGGGTAATTTGTAGGTGATTTTCTTTTCTCTGCTGCTTTTAAGATTGTTTTTTATTTAGTGGTCAGTATTTTTACTTTTATGTCTCTTGGTATTGATTTTTCACTTGCTTCTTGTTTGCTGGCCTTTCTGGATTCAAGGATTGGTGTGTCATTTATACCAGAGAGTTTCTCCATTATCTTCTTCTAGTACAGTGTGAGTATCCCTGATCTGAAATGCTTGGGACCAGAAGTGTTTTGGATTTCAGGTTTTTTCAGATTTTGGAATATTTGTAGTATACTTTCTAGTTGAGCATCCCTATCTGAAAAACTGAAAACCTGAACTCCAGTGAGCATTTCCTTTGAGCATCATGTCAGCACTCAAAAAGTTTGAAGTTTTGGACCATTTCGGATTTCAGATTTTCCGATTTGGAATGCTCAAGTGGCACTCCTTTTAGGCAGATTTTAGGTCTATTCACTCTATCATCTAAGCTTCTTAATTTCTCTCTCTCTTTTTTTTTTTTTTGAGATGGAGTCTCCCTTTGTTGCCCAGGCTGGAGTGCAGTGGCACGATCTCGGCTCACTGCAACCTCTACCTCTCAGGTTCAAGTGATTCTCCTGCCTCAGCCTCCCGAGTAGTTGGGATTACAGGCTCCACCACCACACCCAGCTAATTTTTGTATTTTTAGTTGAGATGAGATTTCACCATGTTGGCCAGGCTAGGTGATCCACCCGCCTTGGCCTCCCAAAGTGCTGCAATTACAGGTGTGAGCCACTGCACCCGACCTTACTCTCTCTTTTAAGGTTTGCATTTTTTTATTTGAGAAACACTCTGGGTAATTTTTCAAGGTCAGTCTTACAGTTTACTGATTCACTGTTCATCTGTGTCCATTCTGTGATTTATCCACCTAATGAATTTTTTTAAAGTTCAGTTATCACATTTTAAATTTCTCGATGGTTTGGTTCTCTCTCCATTCTGTTTGGTTATTTACAGTCCCTTATTTGCTCATATTTTCAAACTTCTCATTTACACATATATGCATATATGTTTTTTTTTAGATATCACACTTTGTCAGCTTTAATATTTGGCATAGAGAGAAAAAGGCCTGCAACTAGATTTTAGATGAAAGTTATGACTCAGAATCCCTTGTCTATCCATATTTTTCTTTTTTTCGCTTTTTATTTTGACATAATCTCAGAGTTTAAAAAAAAAAAGTTAGATATGTCAAGCAACTTCCATCTACCCTTTGCCCACCTTTCCCAAATGTTAATATCTTACATAACTATAGTAAAATTATCTAAATCAGGTAATTAACCTTGATAGAATACTGCTAACTGATCTCTACACTGCATTTGTTTTTTATCAACTCTTCCAATAATGTCTTTTGTTTGGACCGTGGTCCAATCCAGGATCAAACATTACAGTTAGTTATGTTTCCTTATTTTCTTTAACCTGTGGTGTTTGTCAAATGGTGGTTTTTCTACTTCCATTATCCTTTTTGCATGTGTCCATTAAAATTTTCCTATAAGAAAGAGCTTGGCCTTCTCTTCCATGTACTACACATTCAGTTATTTATTTTTTATCACTATGGACTTGTGGATGTTTGTTTTATCCTATGGGTTATAATCCTTTAAATTGTTCCAGATGTGGCCTCTTCAGTTTGGTTCCACTTTCCTTTTAAGAAGTCCCCAGCTTTTTTGAGCACTTCCTTACTTTTTGGCACCACAAGATATTTCAGGCTCACCTGATATTTTCCCTGTCTCAGTTTTGCAGCCAGACATCTCTCCAAGTAGTCCTGGTTCTTTTTATTGAAGGATGGTGTTTAGAAACCACCGTCTGGGTGCTAATTGTGCTATTAAGATGTTATTACCCTTAGGCTCTCTCAGAGGACAGAGCTGGGAGATGAATATATGTATGTATACACATATCTACATTTATCTGTTCCTGTCTGTTGAAATACATGTTAAAAACTATGATTTCATAGTGATACCGCTGATTCAAATCTAACACCATGAAATTCATTCTAGCCTTTCTCCTTTCTGTATTTGTTTTGTCTCTAGCCTCAGTGTCTATTATAGTCAAGATACTGGCTTCCACAGTGGTTAGTTCTTCTGCATTCCCTTCAGGGTGGTCATGTGGTTATGTTATGTATTCCTAATGCAGTTTAGTTGTTACTGTTTATGTTTCGCTTTAGGTTCCCCTTATATACTGGTTGATGTTAATTGTTTGCTTTTTTTATTTCGGGAAACATTACCATGGTTCTAAATGTCAAAACTATGCAAAAAGATATATTTTGAGACATGCCACTTCATTCTCATTCTCCATTCTCATTCCCCAGTTCCCACTCCCATGGTTCCATAATGCTTGTAAGATAAAATTCAAACTTCAGTGTGATTTACAAGTCCTTTCATCATCTCAGTTTTATTTATTTGTTTATTTTTAAATAGAGATGAGGTCTCACTATGTTGCCAAGGCTGATCTCAAACTCCTTAGGCTCAAGTAGCCTCCTGCCTTGGCCTCTCAAAGTGCTGGGATTATAAGCATGATCGGCTGCACCTGGCCACATCTCAGTTTTAGCTTGTCCTTGTACGTCACACTCTGGTTGTCTCAGATTTGTGATTATACCTCAGATATGACCGACTCATTCATGTCTCCATGCATACGTTCTCTCCCTCTGCCTAGAGTGATACTTCTATTCTCCTAACCTTGCCTATCTGTAATCATTCAAAACTTATTTCCATTCTTACCTCTATGGGAAAACTTCCTTTCCTTTTTTTCTTTTCACTTGCCTTTTACTCTCCCTACATTTAATAATCTTGCTCTGTCACCCAGGCTGGAGTGAAGTGGCATGATCATGGCTCACTGCAGCCTCAACCTCCCGGGCTCAAGTGATCCTCTTACCTCAGCCTCCTGAGTAGCTGGGACTGCAGGCTCACACCACCACGCCTGGCTAATTTTTGTATTTTTTGTAGAGATGGGGTTTTGCTATGTAGCCCAACTGACTTTTTTTTTTTTTGAGTCAGAGTCTCACTCTTGCCTAGGCTGGAGTGCAGTGGTACGATCTCGGCTCACTGCAAGCCCCACCTCCTGGGTTCAAGCAATTCTCCTGCCTCAGCCCCCTGAGTAGCTGGGACTACAGGTGCCTGCCACCACACCCGGCTAATTTTTGTGTGTTTTTAATAGAGACAGGGTTTCACTGTGTTAGCCAGAATGGTCTCCATCTCCTGACCTCGTGATCCACCCGCCTCGGCCTCCCAAAGTGCTGGGATTACAGGCGTGAGCCACTGCGCCCAGCCTGTAGTGACTAGATTTCAATTATTTTCACCTTCTTTTCTTTATTTCTTCTCTTTTCATTTCACTAATGACATAAGCCCATACAATAGAACGTAAATCCTCATAATGTGAAAACATGTCAGCTTTGAAAGTCAAGACTGTATCATTGCCACGTTTGCTACTTCACTTGAAAAGTTGAAACTTCCTGTCTATTTAATCTGTTAGATTGGAAGAAATTGTTGTACCAGAAATAAATCCCTTCATCAGTCTTTTAAGAGCCTTAGTAAGCTTTTAAATTGTCGTTATTTTTAATGTCCAAAAGGCAAGTTCAGTGACCTTCCAAATTGTGTTTCTAAGCTGTTTGTGTTACTTTTTAAATTCTGTATTGCTTACTTAGCAGATTATGTTAAAATGCAGGGACTTATTTCTACCAGTCTCTTCACCCATCTGTTACTTTCCTTCCTCCCTCTGTATTGCGTTTACCTCCTGCCACTCCTGTGTACGCTATCTAATCATAGCTCGTTCTCAAGTCCTACATGAAACTTGGAAGAGGAGTTTAGTTGCAATGCAGACATCACACTGTAGATGTGAAGGGAGAGCTTCAGGAACTTGCTTTGTGAGGGCACAAGGCTTGCATTCCATCAGTGTTTGAATCTGGGTATAGCATGCTATGAGAAAGCATCCACTTAGTAATGTGTCCCGTATTGTTTATTTATAATAATTACTGAAATGTTTTACTTTTTTTATTCAGAATGAAGACAAGTACATCATAAATTTATACCTTAATGAATTTTTCCAAATTGAACATAGTCGTGAAACTACCACTCAAATCAGGGAATCTAATATTATTAGCCCACCGAATTTCCCCCCTTTTCCTTCTCCCAGTCTGTATTTTCCCCTACATCCTACACTCAGTGGAAACTATTATTCTGACTTACATAGTTTTACCTATTACTGAACTTTATAAAACAGAATCATACAGTATATTCTTTCATGTGTCTGGCATCTTTGTCTCAACATTATGTTTGTGAGATTTATCAGTGTTCTTGTATTAGTTATGGTTCATTTATATTCATTGCTGTGTAGCAGGCGAAACTAAGGCTGGTGGACTGGCTGTTTTTGTAAATAAAGTTTTATCGGAACACAGCCAAGCCCGTATTGTCTATGGCTGCTTTTGTACTCCAAAGGCAGGTTTGAGCAGATGTGACAGGGACAGAGATTTTATGGCCTGCAAAGCCTGAAATATTTACTATTTGGCCCTTTACAGGAGAAAAAAAAAATCCTGATTCCTGCTCTATAATATTCCATTATATGAATATTCCACAATTTGTTACTGGGTTTCGGCTATTACAGCTAACACTTATTGGAAAATTATTGTATAGGATTTATGTTTGCACATTCCCAGGAGGCATTTACCTAGGAGTGGAATTGCTAGGTTGCAGGGTATGTTTATGTTCTGCTTTATTGGATGCTGCCAAACAGCTTTACGGTTTGTATTCCCATCAGCATTGTGTGAGAGTTGAATTGCTGCACATCCTAAGTCTTGGTGTTGTCAGATTTTAAAATTTCAGCCATTTTCATCATTATGTAATTTTATTTCATTGTAGTTTTAATTTGTATTTCCATGGTGATGCATGAAGTTGAACACCTTTTTATATGCTTGTTAGCCATTTTTATATTCTGTTTGGGTGGCTTGTCTTTTTCTTCTCCCCCTAGGACAGAGTCTTGCTCTGGTTGGGATGTGGTGGTGCAATTAGAGCTCACTGAAGCCTCGAACTCCTGGGGACAAGCGATCCTCCTGCTTCAGCCTCCCAAATAGCTGGGACTATAGGCGCACACCACCATGCCTAGCTAATTTTTTATTTTTATTTATTTTTATTTTTTAAACCAAGGAAGATGTTGAATTTTTTTTATTTTTTAATTTTTTTGTAGTGACAGGGTCTTGCTATGTTGCCCAGGCTGTTCTCAAACTCCTGGGCTCAAGCAATCCTCCTGCTTCAGCCTCCCAAAATGCTGGGATTACAGACATGAGCTACTGTGCACAGCCCTCTTATTAATTTGTAAGGAGTTCTTTATATGTTCTGAATCTGTCCTTTGGTAGATATATGTATTGCAAATATTTCCTTCTGTTTTGAGGCGTCCACTTTTCTTCTTTTAATGCTTAAAAATTTTTTTTTTAAAGCTTATTAACTATAATGAATACAGCAACATGGCTGAATCTCACACACACTGAGGCAAGTGAAGTTAGACACTGTATTTGTGGATACATGGACAGTGATCCTCAGCCTTGTCATCATACTACCTGGAAACTTAATTGTCTTAAAGCTTAGTTAGACTTTCATGTTTTTCAGTCCCTCTTAATTGAAAGTGTGGTTTGTTATATAGTTATGTGGTCTGAGGTTTGGATAAGGACAGAGTTCTTATCTTTCCTTTTTTTTGTTTTGAGACCGAGTCTCGCTCTATCGTCCAGGCTGGAGGAGTGCAGCAGCACAATCTCAGCTCACTGCAAGCTCCGCCTCCCAGGTTCAAGCGATTTTCGTGCCTGGGTCCCCAGAGTAGTTGGGATTACAGGCGTGAGCCATTGTACCGGCTATTATCTTTCCCTTTTGAATATTAAAAGCAATTCCAGCATCTTAAAAATCTCAAGTTCTGTGGGTGTGTTTGTTCAGCACTCCATAGTGTGCTGAATATTCATAGATTTTACTAAGTAAGATGATGCAGTATCAGATATTGGAATCATATTTTTGCATTTTTTTCTCCTGAGAACTGTCTCCTCAGATCTTCAAGTTAAGGAATTTAGAAATCGAAGCTTATTTATCTAGCTTTAAATTGCATTGGGTTGAACAGGTTAGTTGTGTCTTGTAGTGAGTAGACTACATGATTTTTGAGGTCTGTTTAATAATTCTATTTTTCAGCTGGGCGCAGTATCTCACGTCTGTAATCCCAGCACTTTGGGAGGCCGAGGCAGGTGGATTACCTGAGGTCAGGGGTTCGAGACCTGTCTGGGCAATATGGTGAAACCTTGTCTCTACTAAAAATACAAAAATTAGCTGGGCGTGATGGTGCGCGCCTCTAGTTCAGCTACTCGGGAGGCTGGGCAGGAGAATTGCTTGAACCTGGGAGGCAGAGGTTGTAGTGAGCCAAGATTGTGCCACTGCAGTGTAGCCTGGGTGACAGAATGATACTCCATCTCAAAAAGAGAAAAATAATAATTCTATTTTTTCCCCTTTTTGTTTCAGCTTTATAAATAGCAGTCCAGGGCAACAGTACTTGATAAAAAGGTATTTTGTTTGTTTTGGTTTGTTATGGTCAGCTCTACAAAGATGCATGTGACCTTAAAAATATTTAGAAATATTATAATACTACAGACAGGCCGGGCGCGGTGGCTCATGCCTGTAATCCCAGCACTTTGGGCGGCTGAGGCGGGCATATCACCTGAGGTCAGGAGTTCGAGACCAGCCTGACTAACATGGAGAAACCTCGTCTCTACTAAAAATACAAAATTAGCTGGGCGTGGTGGCACACGCCTGTAATCTCAGCTACTAGGGAGGTTGAGGCAGAAGAATCGCTTGAACCTGGGAGGTGGAGGTTGTGGTGAGCCAAGATCGCACCATTGCCCTCTAGCCTGGGCAACAAGAGTGAAACTCCATCTTAAAAAAAAAAAAAGAAAGAAATATGATAATACTAGAGACATTTTTCTCTAATGTCTAATTTAAAAGCAACTATTTACCTTAGAAAGGCTGGTTTGCCTCTTCTAGAACAAAGATAAGACCTGTGTAAGTTATACAGCTATTGTATTTTAGTGAAATTTATTGTGCACTTAACCAGGTTTTTTTTCTAATTTTATTTCAGGTTATACCTTATTGGTGTGGACGTTGTCTAAATTTCGGTAGCCATGGCACAAGAATATAGTAAGTACTATGCCATACTTCCTATGACCTACCTGCTTTACAAAGTGTTGATTTTCTGTGTTTAAATTTCTGATTAGAGAAATGAAAACATAGAAACAAAATTTTAAAAAATCTACTTTTCTCAAAGAGATGAAGTCGTTTGTCATCTGCTTTTTGAATCTATAGCTTTATATACAAATACAGTGTAATAGTGATTTATTTCGTATTCTGATACAGTATTGCTCAGGCTATTGCCTGTAAATAGTACTGACTGAACATTAGGGTTGGATCCATATCATGCGTTGCATCTATTCCTCATGTTATGGGGTTGAAGAACTGACTGCAGCTCGCCCTGATTAGGAGCAGTCTCATTTCTGCCTTGTCCATGATTGACTCATGAACTCTGGCTACATCAGTGAGTGCTGAGTGTTACCTGGCCAGGGGGATGGTTTCAGAGATGGTCCTGTAATCCTTTTCTACCCAGCGTGGCTCCAATGTGGGTTTGCCTGGAGCTTCTGGCAGAAGGCTTCTCATGGTTAGGACAGAGCTGCCTCTTACTTCTGGATGTTGTTGTGCGCTGGTGTGAGGTCTGGTGTAGCTGCAGCATTGTGGCTTCCGGACTGAGTGAGAAGCCACACAGGGTGGAGGACGGAGTCCAGAATCACAAGGAAACCAGCCCTGAAGCTTGCCCTTTCTCTGACGTCCAAGCATTTGAGCCAATACATTTCCTTTTTATTTAAGCCAGTTTGAGTTAGGAGCCAAAACAGCCTAAGTGATTCACTTAGTCTCCATTTTATTTTTAGTAATCCATTAGTTTCTCCCTGGGGAAATGTAGGAGTAATTGCAAAGCAAGGCAAAATAATACCATTAAATTAAACTGGCAGAGTGTGTTGGTGTTGACTGGCATACTCTTCACTCTTAACAGTTAGCAGGTAGTGATTTAGTATTCAAAGACATGAGAATAAAATATATCACTTTCAGATTCTACCCCACCCCCACACCCCCAGAAGGTTTTGCGTCCTGATCGACCAACTTGTGCTGTGAATGCTAAAAAGGGTCTTGGATACTGGCAGACTCATCCCTTTGCATAGGTAGGTGCATATTTGGCAGTGCAGACTTGTTCTTTGTGTTTTCTTAGAACAGTCTATACCCTTCTAATTCCTTGTTTTTGTTCTTGAAAAATTAGTAGGAATATTTCAAATATAAAAAGCATATAAGGCATAACACAAATATCCTTACCCCAGCTCCTTTTTGATTAGCAGAAAAACAAAATCCATGTTACCTCTCCTCAACACTCTATAGAGAAATCGAATGTTTACCAATTCCATTGAACATTAAAAAACCCAGGATATTTCTCTCTAACAGCAGTTCCCTTTCTTAATCCCCAAGAAGCCACTATCCTGGTTTTGGTCTTTATTATTCCCATGCATTTGTTTGTGTTCTTCCCACATAGTGTATTGTATGATTTTTGGATGCTTTTTAACTTTGAGTAAATGTAGATGCTATGTGCATTTATTACTCAAAATCGTAAGGGAGTTTAGAATAAATTGAGGATCGCTGAAAGAGGCTATAAATCTGTTCTTAGGTACTTGTGAAAAGATCTATTATTGGGTATCCTAGTGATCTGTGATAGAATGTTTTAGGTTTTGAATGGTCAATGAGTTTGAACCAACATGCTGATAGCTTTCTGTCTTATCTACTAATACGAAGCACTTTTCTCTGGTAATTGGCCTACCATTGAGTTCACTCTCTGTATCTACTTCTACACTCCTGTGCAGGTGTGGAATGTGCAGGATACTTATAGATCAATTGTGTCATTAATGAGGTTTTCAGAGTGTGTTGGTTGCTGTTTCATTTAAATAGCTCTATTCATTCTGTAGTCCAAATGATGCTTCTGGCATCATTTTTCTGCATTGTGAGAATTCGCCATTATGCCTACAAAATTTACTTCTTTTTTTTTTTTTTCTAAATTTGTCAGTTTGTCACTATGTTACTTTGTACTGGTAGCAGTAGTACAGAAGAGGGGTCTACTCCTAAGAACTGGCTGTCAGGTTGCACCTCGAAATAGTACTGTGTATCAGTCATCTGGGAGCCTCCTTGGAAATCTTTGTTGTGCCTTTATGTCCCTTGTGACCCAATATTGGGTCTTAGGGATCATTTTCTATCTTGTTCTTGTGTGAAATGTATCTTTTTTTTGTTTGCTTTTGCTTTTGTTTTTGTTGTTTTGTTTTTTAAGACAGGGTCTCACTCTGTTGCCCAGGCGGGAGTACAGTGGTGCAATCTCAGCTCATTGCAGCCTCGACCTCCCAGGCTCAAGTGATCCTCCCACCTCAGCCTCCCAATTAGCTGGGAATACAGGCATGATGAACCACCAGGTTTGGGTAATTTTTTGTATTTTTTGTCCGCCTCAGCCTTCAAGAGTGCTAGAATTACAAATGTGAGCCACCATGCCTGGCCTGAAATGAATCTTAAGTCATTTAAATTTTGCATTCAAAAAACTAATTCCCTTACTATTGGGGGAGTCCTGTTACCCTTTGCTCTTGCTTGGAATGTTGCCTCCATGAAACTGAATAGTCAGTTCCATTCAAAAATCATTAATCCTTTCAACTTGAGAACCTAATTACTGATAAAGTATCAGAGAAAAATTTACAACAATATAATTTCTGTTTTGTTTTTTTTTCTGGGTGCCATTTTTACTTAAATGTTTAACATTTGAAAAAAAGTGAACTCAAAAGATTTTTTCCCCTTTAATTTATACATATTATATCCATGTTACAGGAAGGAAAACATTAACATCTTTTGTTGAAATTGTTTGAAGATCTTACACTTTGTGAATGTATTGGTTGTTGTGTAATATGTTTTGTGTGCATTTTCTTTTTTAAAAAATCTGCATGTTATAGTTGGGTTTTAAGGGGAAAAGCCTATTGAAAATTTTCTTTGAAAAATCAATTCGGTGAACTGATATTACTCTTTTTTGTTTGTTTCTTGTGGAATGGAGTCTTCTTCTTTCTTATATATGAAAGGACTTGTATATATATTAATGGCATACAAAAGGACTTGTGTAAATATGGAAAGTGGTACAAAAACTTGGCTTGTTTTTGTACCGCCAGATGAAATGCTGCCTTTGTGGGGAACGGCCCCCTGGGCTGAGGGAGCTTCTAGACACTGACTCAGATCTGTAATTAGGTCTTGCTCTCCGCACCCTTGTTGACTTGAAAGCACTGGCCATAGACCATTTAGTCTGGAAAAGCAATACTACATGAATCATCTAAATTGGCACAAATTATCCAGAATGCTACTAAATGTTTTGTACTCCTCTGTAATTGAGAGAATTAGAAAAGGAGACTTGTTCTTTAAAAGTATTATAGAGGGTACGTATACACTGATGAAAGTAAATTTTTTTTCCCTGGATAGAATGAAAAGCAGTGGAATATTTGACATTTGTAAGCAGTTCTGATCTCATGGGTCAGTTTTAGGAGATTCCTCCATGGTTCCCATACTATTTTCCTTTGTGAGAAGGTAGGAAGTGTGGCCTGTCTTCCAGCTCCCGTTTATTTCTCCACTCAGACCTTTTAGACCTGTCTTGCCATCTGTAGCCTCTGCTTAACCTCTACAGGGTGGTGGAGGCAGGGGAAATCCTGGAAACATATTGTATCTGTTTTGCTTCCTCCTAACTAGTCTCACAAATCAGTATCTCAGTATTTAGAATGGAAATATGATACTCCTCTCTTCCCTTTCGAAAATGTTGGGTCGTAGACTTATTGAGACCTGTTAGGTACCTGGCAATGAAGTGGGTGAAAGTCATTTTTTTGGTGTGTTTGCTAAGTAGTAAGTTGACAGTGTTTCCATTTATTTTTAAAAAATCAAATCAAAAGTTTTCTTACTTTGTCTCAATTTACTTTATAACAAGACTTTAATTATATTCTAAAGTTGAAGGCATTTATAAGTCACTTAGGAATAGACATAAAATGAAGACTTTTCCTAGAGTACCCTTTTTCATTTTTTTCTGATAATTTATTAGGAGTCTTTACCAGCACTTCTTTCCCAGCGCTGTGTCTGCTCTAAAAAGGACAAGCAGATTTATTCATTCAGCAGCAAAAAGGCCAAATTTTCAACTTGTAATGTGAGTTGGCTTTTTAATATGTGAATAAACCCTTATTTTCATGTTGGAATATATGTGAGCAGGCATCTCAGAGGAATGCGTCTTTGGCAGTAAGTAGAAGAAAGCCACAGATCACTATGTAATTTTGTGTTGTGAAGGCATAACTGCCATTTTGTGTCTGCGGTTGTACATGCACATGCTTGTGATTCAGGTTGTCTTTGTTAGTATAGGGCATTGCTATTTGTCAGACCTTGCCACTTTCATTTTGGAGTTGTTGAAAATCACATATTCAAATTATAAAATTGTTAGAACATATGCTGAGTTAAATTGAAAGACTTTAGAGTGAGTTTCTAAAAAACTGATTGGTAAAATATTTCATCAGTCAGTACCCTTGATAAAATTCCTCATTAGGTGGGTAGGTGAATATTTTTTCCCTAATATAAATTACAAAAACCTTCATTTAGGCTGTGTTTACAAAGAGTGCCAGTTTGGCTGAGTGCTGTGACTCATGCGTGTAATCCCAGTACTTTGGGAGGCCAAGGTGGGAGGATTGCTTGGAGGCCAGGAGTTTGAGACCAGCCTGGGCAATATAGTGAGACCCCATCTCTACAAAAAATAAAAATAAAAATAAAAATAAAAATAAAAATAAGAAAAGAGTGCTAGTTCTCTAAGAATTGTGATCCTGTTTGTCACAGAACTTGCTTAGTACCCAGTTAACCTTTCACTTAATCTATTTTGGCAATTGTAAGCCAAGAGACCATGCCTTAGTACCAAAAACAAATCACCCAACCTCATTACCCTTGGTTTGCATTTGTATAAATAATTGGGTCATTAGCCAATATGTAAATGGAGGGGCATGAAAGGTTGACCTTAGTGGGAATTTAACAATACTTTATGGCTTCTAGATTAACTCGTGTAAATTATTTATTCGTGGCAGCAAATATCTTTTGTTTGTGGGTGCAGTGCTGTAAGACCTCAATCAAGACTTCTAGAGTTCTTAATGGGTAGGAAAATATCTAAAGGAGTTTTATGCGTGATTATATCTTATTCCATCTAGTAACAGATGCTTTCCCAATTTTGTGAATGAATGGTAATCCCTGATGAAAGAGCTTCCCAACCTCATTTTTAAAAAAAATTTCCTTCACAAACCAATTGAATAAAATTAGTCTGGCCTATGGAGTTAGGTGCCCCCTTTGTAAAATGGAAAGCTTTACTAAACAGTGTGTGCAGAGAGACCATCTGTCTCTATTTCTATCTGAATATTTGGCTCCCTCCCTAAATTTGATGGTATCCCCATTGTATTACTATGCAGTGGCCTCAATTTAAAGATGGAGAAGCCAATGTACATTCATCTGTTCTGCATGTGTATAGAGTCTGTTGATCGTAAAGATTTAGGCCAAGATCCTGCATTCATTGTTACTATAATTTGATCCTTTAGTTGTATTTTGATGATCACTTGGAATAACATTCAGTTGTATTCGTTCAGAGCATCAAGGAAAATCTCATTTAATACACTATTCTCAACAAATGTTAAAAGTAACTTACAAAAATAATACATACTGGTAAAAAAGTAGAAAATGCAGGTAAACATAAAGACAAAAATGAAAACCATCTATAATTTTACCGTCCAGAAGTGGCCATTACTAACATAGGCTAATAATAGGTTCTCACAGAACACAGAGCACACCATTGAGAAGGGGCAGGGGGACCCTATGCCAACAATTAATAAGGGACTGGCTGGAGATGATGACAGCTAGAAACTCTTAAATACCTATGTATGGTGTGTGTTAGACTTAGTGTCTTCTAAACTGGAAGTATTTATTAGCTGTGTTCATTTTATTTAAGATAAAAGAAAGCACCTGTTGAAGGAGTAACTGCCCTATTCTGGTTGACTTTTGTTTCCATTGATTTTTTAGGAAGTGTTTTTCTTATGCAGGGCATGTTTCTCTATGTAAGCATGAATTTTCCTCTTGATTCTTAAGTGAAGGGATAATATAAAATGAGCTGCTATATAGAAAGAGTAGAATAATAACATACTTTTAAAAGGAATGCCTTCTGCTCCTCTGATGGAAAGATAGGAAAGTCAAGTCACCAGAAGCTGCATGTGGTTATTATCAAGGGATAACTGAATGTCAGAATCCCTCCTAGGTTTTTTTTTTTTCCTTTTTCTTTTCTTTTGAGACAGAGTCTCAGTCTGTCACCTAGGCTGGTGTGCAGTGGCACAGTCTCAGCTCACTGCAACCTCTGCCTCCCAGGTTCAAGCAGTTCTCCTGCCTCAGCCTCCCGAGTAGCTGGGATGACAGGCATGCACCACCACACCCAGCTAATTTTTTTTTTTAGTAGACAAGGGGTTTCACCATGTTGACCAGGCTGTTTTCAAACTCCTGGCCTCAAGTGACCTGCCCATCTGGGCCTCGCAAAATGCACGGATTACAGGCATGGGCCACTGCACCTGGTCCCTTCTAGATTTTTAAAAATGGTTTTTAACATAGTGTATCTGTCCCCTGCTACATCTTATCTGATGTCCCTCTTCTTCTGTCTGTTGCCTTGCCATCCTACGGCAGCTTCACGTAACTTAACAATGCTACATTGTAAAATCTAAGGAATTCTGTGCTAAGATCTCTGATTATTCCACTAACATTCTCTCATCCTTCAATTTACAATAGCTTTCAAAAAAAAAAAAAAAAGAGTCTGGCTTTCAAATCATTACACTACAAAGGTTTATGTAAGCAACAGTCATCTCCCTGGATATGAAAGTAGTTGTCCTTTGTGCTGTTTTGATGGCTTCCGAGTGCTTGTTTGTTGGTTTCCTTCTCTGATGCTCAGGATAACTTAGTATGCCACAACCCTCTTAACTTCCAATGGGCTTCTTTTAAGTGTCTATGCTTAACAGAAGCTTTCTCTATGAGCAATAATGTACTTCAACCAGTTGGTCAGTGATGATCCCCACAGTTTGTTGTCTTGAAGCCATTGTGGTATAAACAGAGCAAATGATGAGAGCTTTGTCCTCTGCCCTCTCTTCCAAGTAAAGAGTGTAAAAGTTGTTTTAAAGGAAGTCTGCATTTTGTGGTATCATTCAGTTTTGGAACAGTGTCTATTTAGATTTTAGCCTGGAATTCTTTTGGAAACTCCACCCCTGGAAGAAAATGATTTTAAAAAGAATGTGTTTCAGCAGCTGTTAATGTCAGCAGCAAGAACATAGCACTGTCTTGGAAGATCTTTTGGTTATACAACAGTAGCTTGCTGGATTTCACTTCTGCAGTTGCAGTCCCTTCCATTGAGAGACTGATTTAAATTAGGCGAATATTGCCAAGTTTTAAATTATAATGTTGTATTGTTGGAAAATGCTCAAATGTTGATTCTCTGGCGTTATAATGTGTTTTTAATTTTAAGCATCACATTGAGATTTTAGCATTTAAATACCTGAAGGAAGCGATACGCAAATTTTAACTTGTTAAAAAATATTAATAAGTAG
This sequence comes from Homo sapiens, assembly GCF_000001405.40. Lineage (NCBI taxonomy): Eukaryota > Metazoa > Chordata > Mammalia > Primates > Hominidae > Homo > Homo sapiens. The sequence goes on from NC_000014.9 coordinate 71,536,927, forward strand.
CAGTTGTTTCTTTCTTGCCTGTTTTTCTTTTATGGAATATTTAGATTTTGTATGGTCATATGCAATAGTTCTGAACTCTTGTCTTCTTATGCACAATGTTAGGGTTGTGCATGGGTTGGTTTTCTTGCACAGCTCTCATTAGATTTATTTCAGTTACCTATTCACAGCCCTAATGGTAGTGACATCCCTGTTTATTTACTTCTTGGATTCTTACCAAGTTACAACATGATCTCTTTATCCTTGGGCTGCTGATTCTATTAAGTTTACTATTTCTTTTATTTATTTACTTATTTTTTTGAGACAGAGTCTAGCTCTGTTGCCCGGAGTGCAGTGGCGCGATCTTGGCTCACTGCAACCTCCACTTCTTGGGTTCAAATGGTTCTCCCACCTCCACCTCTCAAGTAGCTGGGATTACAGGCGTGTGCCACCAGGCCCGGCTAATTTTTGGTATTTTTTTTAGTAGGGACAGGGTTTCACCATATTGGCCAGGCTGGTCTCGGACTCCTGACCTCAGGTGATCCAACCGCCTCAGCCTCCCAAAGTGCTGGGATCACAGGCATGAGCCACCAATCCTGGCTAAGTTTACTACTTCTACACGAAGACAGACTGATAGGTTTTTATTTTAGATAAGCAATTCCAGTGTAATCTCTTTTCAGAGGATTTAGATAAAGTATTTTCAGTTGGCCTCCCATTCCTCCTTCTCATTCCTTCAGTGTGGGCGAGTGGGCTATCTTTTTTCCCCTGCATCTTCATTTCCTTTTCTCTCTCTCTCTTTTTTTTTTTCTCCCTTGACAGAGAAGTTTTACTTTCTTCTAAGTGGAGGATGGTAGTAAAAATCAAGTTCAGGTAAAGAATGAAGTTGTGGGCCAGATTTGGGAAGAAAATGAGAGAGAAAAAGAGTTCAGGTGAGGAATTTGTAGTCTTAAAAAGTAAAATCTGCCACTGTTCCTTTAGCTGTTTCTGTGTGACCCTGAATTGGACCAGGTAACTGCCATTTTCTCATCAGGGTCTGAGGATGGCATTTGAGCAATAGCTAGCTTGTCAGTGTTTGTTTTTATAATGCATAGTCAGTTAAGAGTTTGACTGACTTGCTGATTTGTTAACTGCAGGGGGAAAAAAAAGATTCACTCTCTCCTTTCTAATTTCTTACCAGATGAATTCCTCCTTCATCAGTTCTGTGAAGAGGCTATGAAATAATTTGAACAGTTTTTATTTTTAATAATTGAATCTTCTTCCCTACTGTTATACACTAAGATCTCCCTTTTTCTCAAAAGGAGTGAGAAGTTATTTTCCCTTCAGGTTTTAAGGTAAGAATTGGTCCCAGCGAGGTGATTTCTAACTATTCTTACTTTTTTTTTTCTTCAGTCTTCCATAAATTAGCCGAAATAAAATTTTGTTCTGAAATTTTACCAAATTCTTTGAGATTCTTGGAGTCCTCTAGAGGTGGTATGGAGCCACAGCTTGGAATAATTGCTTTAGGAATAATCCTTCCACCTGGTACACAGGGACATCATCCTTTGCAAGGAAGGCGGTTAAATGTGTGTAGTCTGGCAGATTGGGATCTGGACTCCTGAGTGTGTCTCTTCTGCCTTCTTTAGTTTGCTGTTTCAGATCTCTCTGTCCTTATTGCCAAGTCAGGTCTCTAAGCTTCATTGTCAAGTTCACTGTCTTCCTAAGGTTGTAATAGCGGCAGGGTCATGGTGCTTTTTGGAGTTTGTGTCTGTTTTCTGGTGTTTGCTGGATACAAGACGGCAAAGTAGTCCCATTTCTGTTGCAGTGCTTGATAAATGCAGGGTCATGGTGCTTTTTGGAGTTTGTGTCTGTTTTCTGGTGTTTGCTGGATACAAGACGGCAAAGTAGTCCCATTTCTGTTGCAGTGCTTGATAAATGACTGAAGAAAGGAAAAAGGAGAGAAAGAAACAAAGAAAATCTGATTTCTTAAGTAGTTACAGTCTGTTCTTCAGACTGTTTTTTGTTTGTTTGTTTTGATGGTGTTTATTAAATGTGCACATCATTAACTGCAGTCATACAGGGTTGCTTTCAAATCTGGGAGAACACAGTGGTCTACAAAGTAGCTTCTTAGTATTTCTCAACTGTTTTTCAGCACAAGGGAAGATGCACTCATTTTGATTTCCTTCGTTTTTTCCTCCAAGAGCAGAGAGCCGCATTGTTTTTCCTGTGACCTTTATAAAGCCATGTGGTCTGTTTGGAGGACAGTCAGTGCACACTCCATTCAAGGATGCTCTCTACAGTCCTTCCTGCTCCTTGGCCCGTTTTCCAAAATGAGATAATGAATATAAAAACACTCTCTCATAAGCTGTAGAAGTGTCAGAAATGGAGGAGAATATTGTCTTTACTATATTACTCTTTGCTTGTGTGGCCTAGTGTAAATATTCTCTATTCACTACATGATCTCCATTGGTGAAATGGCTGCTTTTGACAATACTGTTTCCAGAGAATAGCTACTTCTCGATTAGGCCAGCTTGGAACTTTTCCAATGGAAAACTATTTGCACATTGAACAAATATGACATATATTGCATTAAAATGAGTTGCTGGTATTTCATAATATTTAGAAGTTGAAGAATCACTGCCCTTTATGTATGGCAGTAAATTTCTTTTGGCAGTGACCATGAAGTTCTTGGCCACATGAGAAATAACTGACCAGAGAGTCTGAATCTAACTTCTTATTCAGAGAGGACTGTTTCTCTGACAGATGGATTTTGTAGCCTTTGTCGAGCTTTTATATAGAATAATGCTTTTTGTTTTGTGATTTAACTCATTGCCCTCAGGCTTTTCAATTTGTATATGTTGATTTGAAGAGCTCTTCCCATGGAGAGATGTGTGACCTGGACTACAGGAAATATAATGTGCAGGAAGAGTTGGGGAGGGGGGCATTTCCTTCCTCGATCTCCCAAAATAGCCAAGTAATTAAATCTATTACTGTAGCTAGAAAGCAGAACTATTGTCTATATTGTCAGCAACACCCTAAGGGTGAAGAGAAGCTGCCTGCCTCTGTGCAAGACATTATCTGAGCAGGCGCCTCATCCAGTGGGACGATGCCATCCACATTTGGAAGCAGGCTGAGAAATGCTTCGGCACTGGCAGCAACTCCTCATCAGAAATGCTCTCTCGCATTTTATAGTAAACCTGTGTTGACTCTGGTGGGGAGCTCTAAAAATACCTTATCATGGAGATTTGACATTTCTTATAGCAGCCGATAGTTTACATTGACAAGCCCCTTGGAATTGTTTCAGAACACTAATCACTTGCTGTCAGCAGCTAGTTCCTCTGAGGGGAAGAGCGGGGCTGATCCTGCCTCTGTTGTGAGACTGCATGATTAGAGGGACATTTCTGAATTCATGTCCATTCCTTCATTTCCAGTGCATACTGAAATCAAAATACCATCAAAGGCTGATAGAACTGATTCACAGAATTTGTTTTTAGGAATTTTGGATTTTTTAAAGTACAGCTAAGCCTGGTGGTGGCTCATGTCTGTAATCCCAGCACCTTGGGAGGCTGAGGTGGGAGAATTGTTTGAAGCCAGGAGCTCAAGAGCAGCCTGGGCAATATAGCAAGACCGCATCTCTACGAAAAATAAAATTTAAAAAATTTTAAAACTAAATAAAAAGTGCTGTGTTATAGCTAGGACAAACAAAAAAAAGGTTGTGTCATTTGTCTTGGAAGTGATGTCTTTGCTGAATGAGAAAAAGAATACAGTGACAAGGGAAGCAGTTTCACTGCTGAAAACATTCTGACTCTTGTTAGAACAGAATTTTCCTCCTCCAAGAGAGATGGTTATTTAGACATGACATTGTTTGAAATTAGGGCAAAATCATGTAGTGTTTTAAAAAAGTACTCAAATATACAGTGAAAAGAAAGCCAAGCTGTAACGCATTAATCAGAACTTATTCATGCTGGCTGGGCAGGGTGGCTCAGGCCTGTAATCCCAGCACTTTGGGAGGTCCAAGTAGGCGGATTGCCTGAGGTCAGGAGTTTGAGACCAGCCTGGCCAACATGGTGAAACCCCAACTCTACTAAAAAGAAAAAAAATTAGCCAGACGTGGTGGCACACACCTGTAGTCTCAGCTACTCAGGAGGCTGAAGCAGGAGAATTGCTTGAACTCGGGAGGTGGAGGTTGCAGTGAGCCAAGATTCTCCAGCCTGGGTGACAGAGCGAAACTCCATCTTTAAAAAAAAAAAGAAGAAGAACTTATTTATGCTATATGGAAGATAATTTTTTCTCTCTCCTTCTGGTGAGAATAATTTGCTGCTCCATGTGAGGTTAAGTTAGTTCCTTTATTGGATCATTTATTAAATGTTAAGTTCTGCCTATGGATGAGTACATTAACCAAGAGGGCATGTTTCATTTTTAGAATAATTGACTAATGTAAGGATTCTAATGTTTATTATATCTATAACAATTCCTCTTTAAGGATAAGTAAATAAAGACCCAAATGCATAGTTACTTGTTAAAAGTAGCAAAACAAGTCATTCAAAGAGCAGGAAACAGATGGGCCAGTGCATGTTTCTTTCTATAAAAGTTAATCTCAGCCAGAAGCGGCAGCTCATGCCTATAATCCCCCAGCACTTTGGGAGGCCAAGGTGAGAGGATTGCTTGAGCCCAGGAGTTTGAGACCACCCTGGGTAACATAGTGAGACCCTATCGCTACATAAATAAGAATTAAAAAATAAAAATTAGCCGGGCATGTTGGCACACACCTGTAGTCCTAGCTGCTTGGGAGGCTGAAGCAGGAGGATTACTTGAGTCTAGAAGGTCAAGGCTGCAGTGAGCTATAATTATGCTACTGCATTCCAGCCTGGGTGACAGAGTGAAACTCTGTCTCTGACAACAGCAACAGAAACATTAAGGTATGTTGACACAATGCATACATCATTCAAAACAGAGATTCTAGTGCCAGTTATTGTGTCATTATTTTTAGATAAGTATTGTAGCCATTGCACAGTAATAGCTCAAGGCTCCCCATTCCATATATTTCCCATTGGATGGCACAAAGGAATTCTAAAACACGTAAGGATCAGTAATAACTTACTGACTTTGGGGTTAAGGGACAGGAGGAAATCAATGGCACGACCATGGATCCAACCTGCTAGAGAATGAACTTACTTCCCAGTCCCCCAACTCCTTATTTCTATATTTTTATTTTTTTAGAAATAGGGTCTTACTCTATCACCCAGCCTGGAGTACAGTGCACAGTCGTAGTTCACTGGCAGGCTTGAACTCCTGGGCTCCAGCTCAAGCCGTCCTCCCCACTCAGCCTCCCAAGTAGTTAGGTGTGCACCACCATGCCTGGCTCCTCCTCCTCCTCCTCTTCTTCTTCTTCTTCCTCTTCCTCTCCTCTTCCTCTTCTCCTCTTCCTCCTCCTCCTCTTCCTCCTCTTCCTCTTCCTCCTCCTCCTTCTTTCCTCTTTCTTCTTCTTCCTGCTGCTGCTGCTGCTGCTTCTTCCTGCTGCTGCTGCTGCTTCTGCTTCTTCTTCCTGCTGCTGCTGCTGCTTCTGCTTCTTCTTCCTGCTGCTGCTGCTGCTTCTGCTTCTGCTTCTTCTGCTTCTTCTCCTCGTCGTCCTTCCTCTTCCTCCTCCTCCTCTTCCTCCTCCTCTCTTCCTCCTCCTCCTCTTCCTCCTTCTCTTCCTCCTCCTTCTTCTTCCTCCTCCTCCTCTTCCTCCCCCTCCCCCTCCTCCTCCCCTTCTTCTTCCACTTCTTTCTTCCCCTCCTCCTCCTCCCTCCTCCTCCTCCTCCTTCCTTCTCCCTTCTCCTCCTCCCTCCTCCTCCTCCTCCTCCTCCTCCTCCTTCTTCTCTCTCTCTCTTTTTTTTTTTTTTTACGAGATACAGTCTTGCTATGTTGCCCAGGCTGGTGTGGAATTCCTAGGATCAAGCAATCCTCCTTCCTGCCTTGGCCCAAAGTGCTGGGATTACAGGCATGATCCTCTGTGCCCTGCCCCTTCATTTCTTCTGTGTTCTATTCTTAACTTTGTATGTTTCTCAACTTTTATGAAGTCCTACTCTTTTCTGTAGCTAACGTCTTTGTTCTGTCTTTACCAGTCCCTCTCTTCTCTGGGATGTGAATTCTCTAATTGTGTCATTGCACTTACTCCTCCTTCCTCATCTCTTCATGCTTTTTCTGTGTCTGTAAATCTTCTCTGGCTCTTTCCTGTCCTCTCCAGCACCCACTGCCCCATCCACTCTCAGATCTTTTCCATTCTCTCTCTTCTTGCTTCCAGTATGTCACAAAAAGTGAAGGAGTGGGAGAATTACCCCATCACTCTTTTTTATCTTTATTCTTAATTCTTAAAAGTTCTTTTTAAATTTGGGTATTATATATCCAACAAAATGCAAAGGTCTTAGTTGTCCTTTAAGATTTGGGTTTCTGATTATTGGCTGTTAGGAATAAGATTGCTATCAACATTCTTGTACAAGTCATTTTGTTGACATGGAATTTCATTTCTCTTGGGTGATACCTAGGAAGAGAATAATTGGGTCATAGGATAGATGTATATTTTACTATGTAAGAAACTGCCCAACTGTTTTTCTGAAATGGCTGTGCCATGTTATAGTTGCACCAGCAATTCATGAGGGTTCCAGTTGCTCCACATTTCTTACCAGTATTTGGTATTATCAGTTTTTAAATGAACTTTTAGCTCTTCTGCTGGGTGTTTAATAGTATCTCATTATGATTTTAATTTGCTATTTCCTGATGACTGATTTTGAGCATCTTTTTATGTGCTGATTGGCCATTCATGCGGTCAGTAACTTTTTTCTTTTTTTTTTTTTTGCAGTGTCTTTTGCAAGTCTTGACTGTTTTTCTAAATTATCTTCGTTGTCTTTTAATTGCTGATTTGTAAGATTATATATGTATATAATGTATGTATATGTATGTGTATATATACATATATCATATGTATGTGTATATATACATATATCATACGTATGTGTATATATACATATATCATACGTATATGTGTGTATATATACATATATCATACGTATATGTGTGTATATATACATATACGCACATGTATGTATATATACACACACGCACATGTATATATACACACACGCACATGTATATATACACATACGCACATGTATGTATATACACACGCACGCACATGTATGTATATACACACGCACGCACATGTATGTATATACACACGCACATGTATGTATATACACATATATGCACGTGTATGTATATACATATATGCACGTGTGTGTATATGTACATATATGCACGTGTGTGTATATATACATATGCATGTATGCACATGCATGTGTATATACATATATCATGTATGTATACACATATGTATATACACATGATATGTGTATATACATATGTGTATATACATATATATCATGTGTGTATATACATATATGTATATACATATATCATGTGTGTGTATATACATGTATCATATGTGTATATATGATTTCTTTGTCAGATATGTATATTATGAATACTTTTCCTTGTCTGTAGCTTGCCTGTTCATTTTCTTAACGATGTCTCTTGATGAACAAAAAGTTTAATAAGTCAAATTTCTTGAGTTTTTTTCATGGTTAACGCTGTACTATGTGTTACCTAAGAAATCTGCTTAGCCAATATTGGGAAGATATTTTCCTATGTTTACTCCGAGAAGCTTTAGGGTTTTGTCTTTTACTTTTAGGTTGATAAACCATCTCTAATTTTTTTTGAGTGTGAAATGAAACAACTGTTAAGGTTTACTTGCACTGTTTTCCTGTTTCTATCTAGTACCATTTGTTGATAATACTGTTCTTTTCCCATTGAGCTGAGTTAGTTCTTGGTTGAAAATCAGTCGACTATATACGTGTGAGTCTCTTCTGTTCCACTGGTCTCTTTGTTCTTAAGTCAATTATACACTGTCTTGAATACTGTAGCTTTATAAAGGCTTCAAATCAGGTAATTAAGTTCTCTAACTTTATATTTTTTTAAATTTTTATTTTTTAGAGATGTGCAGTGGCATGATCATAGCTCACTGCAGCCTTGAATCCCTGGGATTGAGTGATCTATCTGCCTCAGCCTTCCAAGTGTCTAGGACTACAAATATACACCACCATGCCCAGTTAATTTTTATTTTTGTAGAGGTGCTATCTCACTATGTTGCTCAGGCTGGTCTCAAACTTCTGGACTCAAGCAGTCCTCCTGCCTTGGCTCCCCAAAATGCTAGGATTATAGGCATGAGACACTGCACCCAGCCTCATTCTTGCCTTTTAATTGCTTTGTATATTATAGATCCTTTGAATATCCCTGTAAATTTTAGAATCATTTGTCATTAAAAAAATAAATAAAAGCCAATTAGATTTTGACTGGGATTTCATTGATACTGTTTTTCAGTCTGTGGAGAATAGACATTTTAATAATACTGAGTATTCCATTTACGAACCTCTTCACTTAACTTCTCAGCAGTGTTGTGTAGTTTTCAATATAGATGTTTTGTACATCTTTCATTAGATATAGATTTTCATTAGATATACTGGATTTTCTGTGATCCTCTAAGTAGTGTATTTCAAATTCCATTTTGTTGTTCACTTGCTAGTACTCAGACATAACAATTGCTGTTTGTGTATTGACCTGATATCCTGCAAACCTCCTAAATTCAGTTGCTAGTTCTAATTTGTGTGTGTGTGTGTGTGTGTGTGTAGTTGTCATATGTGATCATGATTGCTTCTGTTAATAATGACAGTTTTATTTGTTCCTTTTCCATCTTTATACATTTTTAAACTCCTTTTTCTGGCCCATCGAACTAGCTAGAACTTGCTGTGGAGTGCTAAGTAGGAGTAGTGAAAATGGACATCTTGCATTATTCCTGATCTTAAGAAAAAAGTATTCATTGTTTCACTGTTAAGTCTCATATTTGGCTGGGTATGGTGGTGCATGCCTATAATCCTAGCACTTTGGGAGGCTGAGGTGGGAGAATTGCCTGAGTCCAGAAATTTAAGACCAGCCTGGGCAACACAGTGAGAACCCATCTCTACAAAAAATAAAAAATTAGCCAGGATTGATAGCACATGGCTGTAGTTCCAGGCTGTCGCAAAAGGTGAGCCCAGGAGTTCGAGGCTGCAGTGAGCTGGGATTGTCCCACTGCACTCCAGCCTGGGAAACAGAGCGAGACCCTGTCTCAGGAAAAAAAAAGAGAGAGAGAAAAAGTCTCATACTTAGGTTTTTTACACTGTGGCTTCTGCTTTTAAAGCCCTATAATTTTGTGAGCTCCTATTTTTTAAGTTCACAATGTTCAATCTACATATTAAGCTTTCTTGTGCTTGTGATGTTACTGCATTACTCCCATTTTTCTGTTTTCTGCCTCTTTTTCCAAGCAGTTACTTGTTGCTTTTTCCCCTTGGCTCTTCTACTTTTGCGAACATAGCTTCTTCTCTTTTACTCTCTTCTCTCTGTATTGTTTTTTCTTTTTCTTTCTTTTTTTTTTTTTTTTTGAGATGGAGTCTCGCACTGTCCCCCAGGCTGGAGTGCAGGTGCAGTGGCACAATCTCAGCTCACTGCAACCTCCGCCTTCCAGGTTCAAGCAATTCTCCTGCCTCAGCCTCCTAAGTAGCTGGGATTACAGGTGCACGCCATCACGCCTGGCTAATTTTTGCATTTTTAGTAGAGATGGGGTTTCATCATGCTGGCCAGGCTTGTCTCGAACTCCTGACATCAAGTTATCTACCGTGCCCGGCCTGCATTCATTTGCTTTTAATGAATTCCTTTTTTAATGAATTCTTATTTATCAAATATTTATTGAGCAGGTACAATATGACTAACCGTGTTAGTATCTGAAGCTATACAAGTTGATGAAACATGGTCTCTGTCCTTAAAGAGCTCACTGTAAAGCATGGAAAGTAATGGATGCTTCCCTTGGACCTCTTTGGAAGGAATGGACATCTCACTTGATCTGGTGAGGGTCAGTGAAAAGGCCTACTGAAGGAGTTGATTGTACCACTTATTTTTGCTCCTTTTGTGCAGTCATCCAAGATTGAGGATCGGTTTTCTTTTTTTTCCTTCACATGTGATTATACCTCTTCTCAATTGTTTTCATGCCACAATTTCCAAATCTAGCCAGAAGCGTAGTTGTCAGAACTATATTGTGGTGCTTATTGCCTTGTACCCTATGTAATTTTTGTGTAAAGAGCTCCCCTAATAGCTCTTTAGCTCTTGGTGGTAGTAACTTGTTTGTCCTGATTTTTAGAAATTCTATGGAATGTTATATGTGTTAGAAACTCAAATGTTTTTGAATGAATGAACTAATTGAATAACTTTTATTTTTTGTTCATATGTGTCTTATATTTCATTATTGGATAGATTCATAAGATTCGTCACTTAATATGAAAATAACTTTTTTTTTTTTTTTTTTTTTTGAGATGGAGTCTCGCTCTGTCGAGGCTGGAGTGCAGTGGCATGATCTCGGCTTACTGCAACCTCCACCTCCCAGGTTCAAGTGATTCCGCTGCCTCAGCCTCCCAAGTAGCTGGGATTACAAGTGTGCACCACTACACCCGGCTAATTTTTGTATTTTTAGTAGAGACAGGGTTTCACTGTGTTGGCCAGGCTGGTCTCGAACTCCGTACCTCAGGTGATCCGTGCGCGTTGGCCTCCCAAAGTGCTGGGATTACAGGCATGAGCCACTGTGCCTGACCTCAAAATAGTTTTGGATTGTATTAATTTTCTAGAATAATTATTTTGTTCAAATAATAATTATTTTGTTCAACTATTCCTTTGGGGGGCTTCTTTCCTTCCACGCTGCTGGACAGTAGGATGACTCTCTAACTTGCTACTGTACCCAGAGCAGACCCTTTCCTTAAATAACAGATGCTCGTGAGCTGCACTTCAAGATTCCTGTCTTGGGTTTTTCATTCCATTTCTTCACCCAAACCAATGTCTGTTGCTCCATTTTTGTTTGCCATGGTGAAACCCTGTTTCTAGTAAAAATACAACAACCAGCTGAGCGCGGGTGGCACACGACAGTAGTCCCAACTACTTGGGAGGCTGAGGCACAAGAATCCCTTGCCTCTCTTATTCAGTAGCTCTGCTTATTCTTGTAAAGCCATAATGACATCACAGAATAGATTTTATTTTTGAGCAGGTACCAACTAGTGATTATTTTTAGATAATTAAATTATAAAACCATGAACAATGCCTTATTGCAAATGTAATGGTTATGTGAGGCATTGTTTAGTGATTTCATTGGAATGAAGGTGAAACAAAGGCATTTAATTTTTTTCAAATTGAATTATGTATTTCTTTCAGGCAAACATGTGCTACTTAGTATCCATTAAATATGAGGGCATATAGCTTAATTTTGCTTAAGTGTAAGGTCAGAAGTCTTTAAACTCAACTGTGTAATGAAGTCTGCTGTCAGCGTTTTATTTACTAAATTTTTATCATTTACAAAATTTGAAATAATTTTGAAAGATAAATTGTCTTTTATCACCAGTAGATTTTTTTTATTTATATCCTTGTGGGGAGGAGTGTGGTGATCATATTTAGATATCAGATAAAATCAGTGTGCATGGAAATGTTACGTGTGCCTTAAAAATGTAGTTATCAACTTTGAATCAACAGAAAAATAAGTGTTTTAAGTGTAATTTACATTAGGATGTTTACATTTCTAATATTCTTAAGAAAGTAAATGTGGTATTTAGTATAAAAATGAAATGAGGCCGGACATGGTGACTCACACCTGTAATCTCAGCACTTTGGGAGGCCGAGGTGATCGGATCGCTTGAGGCCAGGAGTTCCAGACCAGCTTGGGCAACATGGTGAAACCCTGTCTCTAGTAAAAATGCAACAACCAGCTGAGCGCAGGTGGCACACGACAGTAGTCCCAACTGCTTTGGAGGCTGAGGCACAAGAATCCCTTGAACCTGAGAGGCAGAGGTTGCAATGAGCTGGGATGGCTCCACTGTACTCCAGCCTGGAGACTGTCTCCAAAAAAAAAAAAAAAAAAAAAGTGAAATGAAAAGGCATGCTTATATAGTGAGATATAGCTTAAAGTTTATTTGACTATGAGCAATTAAGCCTTATCAATTCAGAGGTTACTATTAATTGTTTATAATTTTAAACCCAAGTCTGCTTTTTCTCTTTTCCTTACATATGATAAAAATGCCTCACTTTTATTAAACTTAATAAGAGTTTAAAATAATTCAGCATTTAAGTGGTTTTAAGTGCTGGAGAAAGATTTGGAATGCGTTTTTCAAGGGTGACCTTGGTGGCTCCCTTGGCCTTCCAGGGGGCCCACAGTGACAGGTCCATTTATCAGTAGATCGGGATTACTAGGTGTAATTTATTCCCATTAATTGCCTGTCTCTGGAATTCTACCTTTTCATTCACCTCATCATCTAGGGAAGAGACTACCTTTTTTTTTTTCTTTTTTAAATGCCGAGATTTCTTGTTCTCCCTAGCCATGATGCTTGCCCTCACAGAGAAGGAGCTGTCCCATATGTGAACCAAGTAATTCTGCTGACAGCCGTTCCAAGTCCCAGGATCTCTTTTGATTATTTCTGATGTTTTATTTATTCTCTTATTATTTCTGCCTAGATTGGCCAGAAAGAGTTAGATTTGAAGGTCAGCTGCAAACATCTCGTATTTTTAATCACAAGTTGGCCAATTGGGAGGTTTCTAACCAGTTCCTTGAAATAGGTCACCAGACACATTGTACGAATCCCAGAGTTTAATGGGCCATCTGTTGGGTCACTCTGGTAATTGTTCCTTTTTATAAATTCCAATGTACCCAGTTAAGTTGAAGCAAAGGTTGTTAGACTCTTCATGTGCTGAACAGTGGGACCCTCTCAACTGAAACTTGCCCTCAGAGAGTTTTTGTTGACTCCATTTCTTATGTATTTCTTCCTCAATAGTGAGAGTTTGGTTTTTTTAATTGCGGAAGTTGACGGTCATGCTTGCTGAAGATAATTAGAAAAGTGGGGAAGTAGTACTGCTTGGGATTAGGAAAAATGAGGCCAATCATTTGGCTGTAGCAATAGTGGGATTTCTTTGCAAAGAAGCTTTGGACAAGGCGAAGGGAGCTGGGTGTGGTGGCTCACACCTGTGATCCCAACACTTTGGGAGGCTGAGGTAGGAGAATCACTTGAAGCCAAGACTTGGAAACCACAGCGAGACCCTGTATCTACAAAAAATTTTCAAAAAAATTAGCCAGGTGTGTTGGTGCGTGCACTTGTAGTCCCAGGTACTTGCGAGGTTGAGGTGGACGGATCACTTGACCCCAGAAGTTTGTTGCAGTGAGTTGTGATGACGCTGCTGCACTCCAGCCTGAGTGACAGAGTGAGACACTGTCTCAAAAACAGAAATTTTTTTTTAAGTTTAAAAAAGCCAAAGGGAAATGATGGACAATAAACTTGCTCCATGCAGCTGGGTTTCTCTGTGACTCTTAGGAGAGGACCTCAGAAAAGGTATAGTGTGGAGTAGTCTAGAGCTGAAGTTATAAGCAAAGCAGTTTGTTAGCTCACTGAAAACATCTGAAATGTGAATTTTACTTGGTGTTTCTGATTTTCTGGTAAGATCTGGAAAGTGAGAGTCAAAACATGGAGTTCAAGTCTGAAGGGCAGTGAGTGTGTTGATGGAGAACCAGACTGAGGCAGATGTCTTTCAGTATATTATCTGTGAAAAAGAGAAAGACAGCTCCGTTCTGGGCTGGTTTCTCTTCTCTCTCAAAGCGATGTTATCTAGTTGCATGACTTGAAATATCCTCTGTATGCCTCTCTTGTTCCTAACTCTGCTTATCCAACTCTTCAGACTTGTATTTCCAATTACTTTTCTGATATTTCCACCTTTATGTCCAATAGACATCACTAATTTAACATGGTCAACAAAGAATTATGAGCAATCCCAGCACTTAGGGAGGCTGAAGCAGAAGGATTGCTTGAGCCCAGGAGTTTGAGACCAGCCTGAGCAACAAAGCGAGATTCTATCTCTACAAAAAATAAAGATTAGCTGGGCATGGTGGCATGTACCTGTAGTCCCAGCTACAGCTAGTTCCAGCTAGTGCCCGGGTCATTTCCCTTTCCTCTCCAGCCACACTGGCACTTTTTACCTTGGACACGCTGTTTGTTCATATCCTAGGGTCTTTCCACTTGCTCTTCCCTCTGCCTGGAACATTCATGCCTTGTGTAGCTGATTCCTTTATGATATTTAGTCATTTAGTCATATCATCTTAAATGACTTCTTTGCAAAGAGGCCTTCCTTGACCAAATCAGTTGAGGCTGATGTGGGAGGATCGTTTGATCCCAGGAATTGGAAGCTGTAGTGAGCTGAAAAACAAAACAAAAACCTTGATGTGTGTCTAGGGTAATGAGCTCATCCTTGTTTCCTGGGACTTTCTTGGTTTTGACACTGAAGTCTCACATTCTAGGAAACCTCTTCTTCCCAGGCAAACCAGGATGGCTAGTCTCCCTATTTATAGTCCTTAAACCTGTTTCTGTCTCACTTGAAATTCCTTGGGAGAATCATCTGTCCAGTTGCTCAAGCTAAGCATTCAGCAGTTATCCCTGATTCATCTCTTTCTAAACCCATCAGTAACATATTTCTTAACCACATCTAATCCATCAGTATGCCTAGTTGGCTCTACTACCAAAAGTGTCCAACTCTGTCTGCTTCTCTGCATCTCTGCTGATCCCACCTTAATGCAAGCTGGTTTGATCTTGAGCTGCGTTATGTCATGAGACAGTGATGTGGAACCTGCAACCTTTCATGTTGCTCTTAAAGTCCAACCCCATACCAGGCCCTGCAAGCTTCCTCACAGCCCCACACCATCTGTCTTTTCTTTTCTGGGTCATTTCCCTTTCCCCTCCAGCCACACTGGCACTCTTTACCTTGGACACGCTGTTTGCTCATGTCCCAGAGTCTTTCCACTTGCTCTTCCCTCTGCCTGGAACATTCATGCTTTGTGTTACTGATTCCTTCATGACATTTAGTCATCTTATCTTAAATGACTACTTCACAAAGAGGCCTTCCTTGACCAAATCAGTTTAAAGTAGCCAGCCAGCCAGCCACTCTTGATCATATTACTATATTTTAATTTTCTGCATGGCACTTCTAGCCATCTGACGTTTATCTTGTTTATTGATTTGCTTGTTCTCACTCTCCCCTACTAGACTGTAAGCCCCTCAAGAGTGATGGCTTTGATTGCTGTACCCGCCATCCTTTCCCCAGGCTTTAGGACAGTTCACAGAACAAGGGCCAGAAAATATTATTAATTGTAGTAAAGAATAAATGTATCCTAAGCCATTTAATTAAAACTTTGAGATCTTGAAAGTTTTAGCAAGCAAGAACCAGTAAGTGGAAATTAATTGTACCATAGCTATTATTACTACCACAAAAGGTACAGAATATCATTGATATTATCTTCATTTAATAGGTTATACTGATTTTATGTTAGCTAAAATTTTAGGTTTATTTACAAATGTATTTTCCCATACCCTATTTCTTTTTTTTTTTTTTGAGACGGAGTCCCGCTCTTTAGCCCAGGCCGGATTGCAGTGGCACAATCTCGGCTCACTGCAAGCTCCGCCTCCCAGGTTCACGACATTCTCCTGCCTCAGCCTCCCGAGTAGCTGGGACTACAGGCGCCCGCCACCACGCCCGGCTAATTTTTTTTTTTGTATTTTTAGTAGAGACGGGGTTTCACCGTGTTAGCCAAGATGGTCTCGATCTCCTGACCTTGTGATCCGCCCGCCTCGGCCTCCCAGAGTGCTGGGATCCTGTTTCTTTTAAGCTGGTAATTTATTGAATGGTTGAACTTTTCTCCTGCAGCAGCTTTTGAGTTTGTATCCTTAGTATGAAAGTTCAGTCATTCCATACATCAGTCTGTGGGGACTACCGAGTGCCTTGGAGCCTTCCTTCCTTACTTTGACCTAAGGGACTGTCTTTTGGAACTTGAGTGGTTATAAATCTGCACATTTCAGTGTCGAAAGTATTTCTAAACCAGGGTCTCAACCTTAGGACTCTGGCATTTGGGGTCAGATAATTTTGTTGTGAAGGGCTGTGGAATTACATGTTCAGCTGCATCCCCGGCCTCTACCCACGAGATGCCAATAGCGCCTCCTCAGTTCAGATTGCCGATATCTCCAAATGCTGCTTAGTGTCACTCTGGAGGGCAGAGTCTCCCCTGTTGAAATCCACTCTTCTAAGCAATGAATACTTTTTCTTCTATTTCCTTTATACTGAGAGATAATAATTTTTAAAAAATCAGATAGAAATCTGGCTCAGCTTTTTTGGTGGGGTGAATGTAGCAGATTTTTAAAAGCTATTATAAGGAAAGATTGTTCATCTTCCACCATTACTAAGTTATAAGAATCTATTTTCAACTTGTATGTTTCTATAATTCCACAGTACACTTTGTGTTAGGAACCCTAAAATATTCTGGGGGAATTTGTTCTTTCAGTGTTTCTATATTTTTCGCCTGCTCCCATCACCATGGAGCTAAACACTTTGAGACATGTTAAGTTAAAAACAGTAATGACAGAAGAGGAAAAAACATTTTGCTTCTGCATTCTTTTTTCCTCTCTTCTCTTCCTCCTTACCTCAGTCAGCCAAATAGGGTATTAGTTTGAATGTTTTAATTGGATGTCAAGATAGGAAAGGCATGTTTTTCAGAGCTTATTTTTTCTTAGGAAATGCTAACAGTATAATTTGAACAGACCTGTGAATTGATATTCTGAGATAAGGTAAAATATACCAGGAATGTGTAGGGAAGGAGACTTTTTCCTTGGCCTGAACCCATTTTATAGATTTCTGTGCTTCAGAGATCCCATTGTATTGTTTAGGTAGGGCTACTCTACATCATATACAATTCTTTTTTTTTCATATAGAAAACAAATATCAGAATGTATGTAACCTAGTTTTTAGTGTAGAACTGATTGATTCATTGAATAAATGCAATTCTTGTCAGCTTTCTTAAATTGAGACCTTAGCATAGTGTTTTGTATAAAGTAACTAGAGACAGACTATTTTTCAGATTGTGGTTTGTGTTTGAAATTCATGTCCTCATCCAGGTACAGACTTTGAACTTTGGCCTATCTGAATGGAATATTCCGTTCAGTCCTTTCAAATGTAGCAAGAATGAATATAAAATTAGAGAAAAAAGTTTTCTTTCTTAATATTTACGACCTGTAGCATCTTCTGTTAGTTTGTAGGAACATGGTACTGATACGTTATTTCTGTTCAGCAAAGGTAGTTTAGAGATTTTTTTCTGTTTAAGATACAGTATTTTTTTTTCTGAACAAATTAATGTCTTGATATTGAACCTTGGTTTCACTGTGCTCAAACCTTCAAATGTTAATTTAAGGAAGTTTAGATTCCTCATTTCTTTTTAAACAGTATTACTGCTTTCTTTGCACACATGAAGCCATGATATTGAATTTAAAAGCAGATGACCTTAAAATCGTGCAACTTAAACACCACAGACTTAAAAATAAAAAATATAAAGATTTTTAAAGAAGAAAGTTAAAAAAATGTATCTGCTTTTCTGATGTAGGCTGGTGAGAAAAGATGTTCTTTTTCTGTTGCTTTCAGTCTTTAGCTCCCTGTCAGTTCTGCCCCACTGTGAAACCGAAGATGTTCTCAGCATTCTTGAGTAACACTTCCCACAGGTGACCTTCTGTATAAAGAGAGCTTGTTGTTGTTGTTGTTAACTTCTATATTGATAAGAAAAAGATAACAGTTCACAAATTACAACATCCTGTGATTTGATTCTTCATAAAATTTTTTGGTGAGGTTTTGGGAATTTCATTCTTGTTCCCCTGATCTGCTACACTTGGGCTACCACACTTTTTATAATATTTATTGCTATAAACATAGTTTGGGAGCATTTAGGTTGTTTATAGCTCCTTGCTATCCTAAATAATGCTGTGATGAACCCTTTTTTTGCACAGAATTTTGTCTTTTGAATTGTTTCCTTAAAAAATACTCAGGAATAAAATAACTGGGAAAAAAAGTATGTAAGCATTTTAAAGGCTCTCGATACATATTCCTAATTTAAAAAAAAAACAACAATTTCACTCTTCCAGTAGCTAATGAGCACATTTTATAAAAATTAATACCTCTTATTTTTCTTAAAGCATACTTAAGGGCCCTACGATTTTCAGATTGTAAATAAGCATTGGCTTCAACTTTAAGTCTCCAGCTGCATTAGCCCCTAATAAGAGAGTCAGACTGTTCTTTGAACCTTTGAAGCCAGGCATTGACTTCTCCTCTGTAGCTATGAAAGTCCTGGATGACATTTTCTTCTAAGAGAAGGCTGTTTCATCTATACTGAAAATCTGTTGTTTATTGTAGTCACCTTATCAATCATTTTAGCTAGATCTTCTGGATAACTTGCTGGTGAGCTTGCACTTTCATGTTATGGAGACAGCTTCCTTCCCGAAACCTGATGAACCAATGTCTGCTGGCTTCTAACTCTTCTTCTGAGTTTCTTCACCTCTCTCAGCCTTCATAGAATTGAAGAGAGTTAGGGCCTTGCTCTGGATTAGGCTTTGGTTTAAGAGAATGTTGTGGCTGATTTGATCTTCTTTCTCTCCAGAACACTAAAACTTTCCATCTCAGCAGTAAGGCTGTTTTGCTTTCTTATCATTTATGTGTTCACTGCAGTAGTACTTTTAATTTTCTTCAAAAACTTTTCCTTTGCATTCACAACTTGGCTAACTGGTACAATCCTAGCTTTCAGCCTCTCAACTTTCAAATGTCTTCCTCACTAAGCTTAATCATTTCTAGCTTTTGATTTAAAATGAGACACCTGTGACTCTTCCTTTCACTTTCAAGTTTCGCTTGAACTTAGAGGCCATTCTAATTTCAGTGTTGTGGTCTCAGAGACTAGAGAGCCCAAAGAGAGGGAGGCAGATGGGGAATGGCTGGTGGGTGGAGCAGTCAGAACTCAAACGACATTTGTTGATTGTTTGACATTTGTTGATTGATTGCCGTCTTCTGTGAGTGCAGTTTGTGGCATTCCCCAAAAGATTAGTAGTAACATCAAAGATCACAGATTAGAAATCACCAAAACAGATGTAATAATATGACAAAGTTTGACATATTGTGGGAATTACCAAAATGTGACACAGAGACAGGAAGTGAGCACATGCTGTTGGAAAAATAGCACTGACAGACTTGCTCAATGCAGGGTTGCCTCACACCTTCAATTTGTAAAAAAAACACCTGCAAAGTGCAATAAAGTGAAGTGCCATAAAATGAGGTGTGCCTGTATTGTATTTATTGAACAGAAACATTTTTCAAATGTTTAACCAATTTTTTCTTTTGTGAATTGCCTACTGTTTCAGAAAAACTCTCAAACCGTGTCTTTCCTCTGCTTTCATACCACCATGACAATCATCAACACAGAAAACACTTCTGTGACAAAAGCTGTGGGTTTTTTTCTCCACATGCCAAACAGCGTACACTGGCTGGATGTTCTCAATTCAGTTCCAACACTATCCACCCTAAGATAGTGTCAGATTCCACAGGTTGGGGGCTCAGTCCCCAAGACTGCCCCTTACATCTTTGGACATCATTGGTAAATCCAGGCCTCCAGACTTCTGACTGACCAACTTTAAGTTGGTGTTCCCACAACCCCATGTTTGGGTTTAATTAATTTGCTGGAGCAGCTTACAGAACTCAGGGAAACATGTTTACTGATTTATTTAAAAGGATATTACAAAGGATTCAGATGAAGCGTTGTGTAGGGCAAGGTATCAGGGAAGGAGCACGGAGCTTCCGTGCCCTCCTTTGGCGTGCCACCTTCCAAGAACTTCTACATGTTCACCTCTCCAGAAGCTCTTCAAACCTGGTCCTTTGGGTTTTTATACAAGGAGGTTTTATTACATGGCCTGGTTGACAACCGTGTAGAAATGTGATTGGACAAAAAGCACATTATCTAAATCCAGCAAGGCCTGTCTATTCAGACTTTTCTTGGCCTTTCTGTGTAGCTTTCCTTCCCGTAGGATATGGAGCAGGACTCTCTGGAATGAGTGTCTTTTGATCCACAATCAGATTAGAGCCCTGCCTTGGGCAGGTGAAAGGACAGGAGGTCAGAGAGAGAGAGATTCTGTTTCCTGAGGCCTAAAGTACCCCAGCATTATAACAAGGACTGTGGGAGTTAGGAGCTAGGAACTGTGGACAAAAACCAATATAGCTATCATAACACCATACCCATTAATACTTCTTTTCCCATTTTTCTTTTGGAATCTTAGTATTTTATCTTCCTTCACAAATCTTTGCATATATTCAGTGTATTCAGTCTGCGTTGTATTTATGGTATTTTTTAAACTAGTATTTGGTTTGCCTTTTAATGTACAGATGTTTAAAAGTTTCATGTACCCAAATCTGTCAATGTTTTCTTTTGTGATTTCTTTCATTAGTTTTGCTCATGGAAAATGTTTCCCCATTAGATATCACATTTTTTCCCTGATATTTTATTAATTTCAAACTAAGTCCTTACCACCCATTAATTTCATAAGAAAAGAAATCCACTATTTGAGAATTAGGAGCACTTTGCTGCTGATCATGGTTACTACAGGTTGTATTTTTGTAGTTCTCTGCACAAAGGGGCCACTTGCACTAATTGTTAACTTTTGGCTTTGATGTGGTACTTGAGATGTGAGTGCCTGTTTAATTCTGTGTTAATCTGTGGTTCTGTTACATTTGGATCGTTGCGAAAGTACCTTATTGAATACAAATATGAAAATGAACAAAGTAAAATAAAATTAAACTAGTCATGATTGACTCCTATGTGAGTTCATACTTTAAGAGGCCCAGAAATTGTGACTCTTTTCAGATGTAACTGATATAAAAAAACCTACCTTACTTTCCTGTGATAGTTATGGATTGTAGCATTAGGCTCAAGTTGACTGCCAACATAGTTTATGGTGATAACTGCTATATTTCTAATTTGTACAAGTTCAATTTTTTAGAAATATATAAATCCATTGAAGTGAAAATGCTTCCAATTTGCTGGAAAATGAATATTGCTAACTTACATCGTAGGTAATTATTAAGTGTTGGTTTGTGATACTTAAATCAGTTGTCTCATGATTTTTACACCAAAAACTCACTTTTAGAAGTAATATTCTTGTTGGCATTCCAGGTGACATAGGTAAAAAAATATTTTATTGAATTTAAAGCCTAAGTATGTAGTGATACTCTTACATCATATGTTTGTTTATTGTCTGTCTCTCAAAGTAAATATAAACATTTTTAGGGCAGTATTTTCAGCATGTAGAATGATGCCTCAAATATTTATGGAATAATGGATATTTGTTGAGTGAATATCAGGGCACGGACTTAAAATTATAGGAAAAAGAAATACTTCTGCTTGAGTACCTAGAATTTACCAGCCATTGTATGAGATGTTTGGTGATCTCATGACTATATAGAGAGCATTGTTTTTCTAAAGATGAACCTGGGTTTACCTTTGCCATTAATTTTCTGGATAACATCAAGAGTGATAGGTTTTTAGGAGACAGTAGGAAACTACAGACAGTGGAGAGCTCCATCATGTTTCAAGGTAGATTTCTCTCCTGGGAGAAGGTTACTAAAGAGCCTTAGCTAACCACTCTCTCTGTTTTCACTTGGCTGTAACCAGAACTGTAATCAGAAATGGCGTGGAAGGCTGGTGAAAGCCGTGGTTGCTGTTGAACGGGCATATGTGCACTTAGGTAGTTTGCTGATGTAGGTTTAGTTTGTGAATCTAGATAATCTGGGAGTCTCTTTTTAATTTCCTGAAGCATTTTGTTTTTGTTTTTTTAGAGACAGGATTTGCTCTGTCACCCAGGCTGAAGTACAGTGGCACAGTCATGGCTCACTATATACTCAAACCTCCAGGGTCAACCAAGTCTCCTACCTGAGCCTCCTAAATAGCTGAGACTACAGGTGCACGCCGCTACACTTGGCTAAGTTTCTTATTTTTTGTAGAGACACGGTCTTGCTGTATTGCCAAGGCTGATCTCAAGCTCCTGGCCTCAAGTGATCCTCCTGCATTGACCTCCCAAAATGTTGGGATTACTGGTGTAAGCCAGGGCACTTGGCCTTGCCGAAGCATTTTGATGCATGCAAACTAGCAGCAGATGTCAACATTTTCATTTTCTACTCAATCGTAATTTCAGCTTTACTTTTTTTTTTTTTTTTCTTGAGATGGAGTCACACTCTTATCTCCCAGGCTGGAGTGCAGTGGCGCTATCTCAGCTCATTGCAACCTCCGCCTCCCTGGTTCAAGCGATTCTACTACCTCAGCCTCCCGAGTACCTGGGATTACAGGCATGCGCCACCAGACCCAGCTAATTTTTGTATTTTTAGTAGAGAGGTGGTTTCGCCATGTTGGCCAGGCTGGTCTTGAACTCCTGACCTCAGGTGATCTGCCCGCCTCGGCCTCCCAAAGTGCTGAGATTATAGTCTTGAACCACTGTGCCCAGCCTCAGCTTTACTTTTTGTAGAGAAAGGCATCAAAAGGAAGTTTTTCCAACTTTTCTTAATAATAGGTACTTTTTATAGATTTTCCCCTGCCCAGTGGCATTGGACTCTCCCAGAAAAATTTTATGCCAGGATTGTTGTAAAATATTGTCAAGCATTCATGATTTTATCATTTATGGTGGTAAGGGTCTCATAGAGATGTTATGTGAAACACTGTAACATTTTCTTTACCTGCCAAATAAGTATAGAGTAATAAAAAGAACAATTGTTTTTAAAGCCAAAAGATTTTGACCTGGTTCCTGATTTATCATGAGTATGCTTTTAACCTGATCTATGGTTGTGAACAGAATAAAAACTTTTCTGCATTTTTTCTACGAAATTAAAATGTAATTCTTAAAATTTCCAAAAGCATGTTTTCTAACTATTGAAAAAATAAGTTTATTCCCATTCAAAGTAGAATTATATAAACTTTTTTTTTTTTGTATAAAGTTTCACTTCATGTTACTGAACTGGACTTGACATGGAAAACTTGTCCTTGAATAATCATTGAAAAATAGGCTGGGGGAGTGAGACTTTTTCATTAACACACTAAATTTATGCTCCATATGTAAGATATTTGTATATTTTTTAGTGGACTCTGATTATTGTAACTGAATTTAAAGATGCATCTTAAGACCCTACTGTAATCTACCTACCATTAATGTGTTCATTCGTTTCTTCATTCTACTTGCAAACTTCTGTTTAAACTTTATCTTTGATCAAAATATTGTCTACTTTTAGTAAAAATTAAATTGTTAAGTATTTGTGAATAAAATTCATATTTACCTATTCAGATTTACTTGTGTCAGGAATGCAGTCATCTGCAAGCATTAGAAAACCTCTCTAGTAGCATAAGCAAAAGGAAATTAATTCTCCCACATAAAAAGTAGCCCCAGAAATCAACAGTCCAGGGCTGTTACACATGTTCAGTGATGCCACAAGAGACCCTGGAGCTTTTTCCTTGATTGTGTTGGTATCTTTCCTCATGCTAGTCTTATGAATGATAAGATGGCTGTTGCTCTTCTAGGTACCATGTACTCCAGGAGGAAGAAGGGGGAGTAAGAAGGTAGCAGGTAAAGGCTAGGTGAATCAGTCCCTTTTTATCAGGAAAGCTAAAGAGTGTTGCAGGCTTCTGTTTACTTTTCATTAGTCCTGATTTAGGACTAATCTGTTCCTGACTAGTTACCCCTAAACCAGTCCATGGCCACAGGGCAAAAGAGTCCATTAGAAAATTTAGAAAATTCCTGATGTATCTTCTAGGACACACCAAGGTGTCCCACACCCACCTGAACAACTTGAGAATCTGTTGTTAGTAAAGAATTGGGAGAACAGTATGGGTTAGTTAATGGACTGTGTCTTCCATACCTGCTGGAGTGAGGACAGTATGTATTAGATAAACTTAGAAGCCCTGTGCATTTTGACTTCTTGATTCTTGGTCTTCTGGAATAAATTAGGGATTTTTTTTCAGGTTCTTCAGATATTCTTCTGTAGTCATACATATCCTGTCATTGTAGGGGATGATTTAGATATTAGGATAGCAAATACTGTGTTTTAGAGACTTCCTTGTTATTAAGTATATGATGAAATGGGAATTGAGTCATAACACTCTAAAATTGAAATTTGAAAGCTATTTAATGAATTTATGCTTTCTAAAAAGAGTTCTTTTTAGTAGCTCTCTAGAAGATTAATTTTGTTTTATTTGTAATTAAAATGGCTTGAAGATTCATTTTCAAAAAACATGGGCAATGATCATCATATATATACATTTATATTCCACTTTTTAGGCTTACCATATCATAAAATTTTTCCCATGTAGTATAGTACTTTAAAAATTGCTTTGGTGTCACAATGTACTTAATCATTTCCCAGTTATACATTTAGTTCCATTTTGTGCTGCCATTAGCAATGCTATAATTCCATCTTTATATAGGTTATTTTTAATGTTGTATATTACTTTCTTTAGATTCTTCATATTTTAATGTCTTTTGAAACATTTAGCTGATCGCAATCCAATAGCATTGTACAATCCAATAGCATTAATTCGCAGTGCCCACCAGCAAGATATAAAAATAAAAGTTTTTCTGTCAATTTCCCCAGCATTGATTATTGGCAATTAAAAATTTTTTTGTTAATTAACAAGTGAAGAATTACTTTGAATTTCTTTTATGGTAGTAAGGCTAAATATTTTCTTTCTTTTTGAGATGGAGTTTCATTCACTCTTGTTGCCCAGGCTGGAGTGCAATGGCATGGTCTCGGCTCACTGCAAACTCCTCCTCCTGGGTTCAAGCCATTCTCCTGCCTCAGCCTCCCAAGTAGCTGGGATTACAGGCATGTGCCACCACGCCCAGCTAATTTTGTATTTTTAGTAGAGACGGAGTTTCACCATGTTGGTCAGGCTGGTCTCAAATTCCTGATCTCAGGTGATCTGCCTGCCTCAGCCTCCCAAAGTGCTGGGATTACTGGCGTGAGCCACCATGCCCGGCCCAGGCTAAATATTTCCTACTTATTTTTTTTCCTCTTGTAAATGGCATTCTTCTGTTCTTGATTAGTCTGTTACTTTCTTAAGTAACACAGTATATTTTTTCACGTTGTAAAATGATACATTCTTGGTGTAGAATATTTGTTAGCCATAGACGTCACCTCACAAAGATCTATTAATATTTTTTCTGAACAATTTGTGTAAACTTTTAATGTAAGTAATTATATATTTTATTCATAATATATATACTATATTGTCTCAATCTATGTGCCTGATAGTGCATTAGACTCTTGGGGATACTATGGTCAGTATAACAAGTATCATATCTATGACATCAGAAAAAAAATGATACTTTTGTTTATTTTTCCCTAATATTTGTATCATTTCATTTTAGGACATAGTAAATTACCCAGTCTTTATAATAATAATAATTTTTTGTTGTTTAAAATAAGTGTGTTTATCAAAAATAGAACCCATAAGAAACTTCATGTAGAATTTTATTATTAAATGCTTACTTTGTGTCTGTTAAATGATTTTTACACTTTTTTCATGTTTTAGTTATATGGATTATTAACAGATTTACTAATATTGCCTAAAACTTCATTTGTGTACATCAATAATGTATCCAAAGTTGCTATTAAAGTGTTCAGCACATAATAAATGCTCAATTAATAGAATAGCTTTTTCAGTAACTTGCATGTTAAGATTGGCATCCTATTTAACCCAGAATTCGTTGGATAACCTGCTGGTTTTTATTTCATGTTTTGTTATTTGTATTTTTTTCCATGTGTATGGAACATATAATGTGTGACTTCTTAATTTAATCAGGAAATTAAAATCTCAGCTCACTGCAACTTCCACTCCCGGGTTCAAGCAATTCTCCTGCCTCAGCCTCCCAAGTAGCTGGGATTACAGGCACCTGCCACCACACCCGGCTAATTTTTTGTATTTTTAGTAGAGGTGGGGTTTTGCCATGTTGGTGAGGCTGGTCTTGAGCTCCTGACCTCAAGTGATCCGCCCGCCTCGGCTTCCCAAAGTGCTAGGATTACAGGCGTGGCCCCCTTTCTTGCTTTATTATTGTTCATAGCACTTTGTAGCATGTCAAAAAATGTTGTTATTTATTTGTTGTCTGCCTGTTTCCCTGGACTGTAACTCCATGGAAGGCAGGCAGGGACTTTTGTCAGTTTGACCAGTGCTGTAGTCTGGGTACTAAGAATAATACCTGGCGTAGAGTAGACATACAATAAATATTTGTCTAATTATTGTGATTCGTTTCAGTTGATTTCTCTTTTTATATCTCAGTTTTTGTCTTGATTTTATTTATTACTACTTGACATAAAATGTCATGTTTTAGTACAAATACTTCTTTTATCATAGCATCTAGCTTGATGTTTTTCTTTTAAACTTGACAATAATAGTACCTCCTCGTTTTTTTTTTTTAACACGATTTTGTTAAATATCTTCTTTAAAATTTTTTCTGTCTTCTTTTGGTTTGTACATCTTGGATTTCGTATTTTCTTTCTTAATACAAACTGAGGTTCTTTTAATAAGTTAAAGTAATTTGCTTTTGTTTTTGCACTTATATTACTAAGGTGTTTTTTAAAACTATGACTCCTTAAGAATTACAGTCAGTGCCTTTTGATTTATTGGACATGACATTTCCTTTTATATCTTCAAATGATTTTGAGTGTAACATCTGAACTAAGCTACTTCTCATGACCTATTTATCTCATTGCTTCTGTTCTCAATCCTATTATTATTCTGTACTACCTCACAATGCAGTGGATTTCAATTCATTCCTTTCTGCTATAGCACACACTATCTTCTTTACTGAACTTCTGTCTCCTAGGTTTGTCCTATTTTACCTCAGAGTTTCAGCTCCACTGTTTTCTTTGTGAAAGTTTTCGTAACTCTCCAGCAATCTTAGGCAGTGGTCCTGTGTATTCTTACTGCACTGTATGTATATTTCCAGGCATTTTCTTCTTATACTGCAGTGTGCTTTCCACAGTCATACAGAAAGTGGCATACAGAAAGTGCTCAGTAGATATTAGTTATGTTTTTTTCTCATTTTCCTTTTTTATTTTTAAAAAACTGGAGTCTCACTCTGTTAGGCTGTAGTGCAGTGGCACGAACACAGCTCACTGCAGCCTCCACCTTCTGTCTCAAGGGATCCTCTCACCTCAAATTCCCAAGTAGTAGGGACTACAGGCGTGTACCAGCATGCCTGGCCAATTTTTAAATTTGTTTTTTTGAGATGGAGTCTTGCTATGTTTTCTAGATTGGTCTTGAACTCCTGGGCTCAATCGATCCTCTTGCCTCAGCCTCCCAATGTGCTTAGATTACAAGCATGAGCTGCAATATCTGGCCTCATTTTCCTTCTTAATACTATTTTCTTTTATAACTTAAAGTTATACTCTCTATACTTTTCTTGGGTATAATGTGCATAAATGAATGTATTTCTGTGACTTTTTTTTTCTTTTTCTTCTTTTTTTTTTTTTAAACATACATGGAGGTCTGCTTTTGTTTCAGCAGGTACTCCATTTAGAAAAATGTGTAGTCTTCTTCCTCTTCCTTGATGTCCTGACTTCTTATCCTCGGCATTTTCTTTCTTTTTTTTTTTCCGAGACAGAGTCTCACTCTGTCGCCCAGGCTGGAGTGCAGTGGCACGATCTTGGCTCACTGCAACCTCTGCCTCCCAGGGGTTCAGGCAATTCTCCTGCCTCAGCCTCCCAAGTAGCTGGGATTACAGGCATGTGCCACCACGCCTGGCTAATTTTTTTGGTATTTTTAGTAGAGACGGGATTTTACCATGTTAGCCAGGCTGGTCTCGAACTCCTGACCTTGTGATCCGCCCGCCTTGGTCTCCCAAAGTGCTGGGATTGGAGGAGTGAGCCACCACGCCCGGCCATCCTTGGCATTTTCTTTCTTCTTTCTTTAGCTCTTTCTCCGCTTAGTGTAGCTGTCAACTTAATAGTAAAATAAGTACTAGTTACTTTCACAGGTTCTTATCGTTACTTTTCCATACTTTAATTCCTCACTTAAAGGTATGTTTTTGGTCTTTTCTCTTCATCCAGTGAACCATGCCTGCTGTTTCTGTCCCTATAAAGAGTACTTGGTTTCACACGATCAGATTGACAAAAATTTTAAGTTGGTGAGAATGTGGAATAGAAAAGTGTGTCCTCTTCTGAAGAACATTGGCTCTTTTCTATTTGTTAATATTTTCTTCTTTTGGAGTTTGTATTTGGAAATTCTCATTTTTATCCTAGTGTCTTGTTTTTCATGTTTATCCTAATGTCTTCCATTCACATGATCTCTCCAACAATTTTCCCTTCATTCTGTTGATCAATTTTTGTCTGTCTTATATAACACAACCTTTTCAGTTGGGTCAGGTGTTGTTTTTGTTGGTTTTCTTCTTAGTAATTTGCTAGGCTCTGGAGACCTTGTCTTACAGGAGACTTTTTTGAAGTTATTTTCCTTATGTGCTCTTAATTGCAGAGATACTGAATTTGGTTTTGGGAAGGGGTTTGGTAGGCCTGCCTAGAGATTTTACCGAAGGTTCCACCTTCCATGAATTTTGTAATCAAGCAAAAATTAATTGCATTTCAAGAATAATTTTGAAAGTATAATATCTTTTCCACACTAAAGTCATGCAGTAAGAAATATAATAATATAATCTGTAACAAACTCCTTGCCATGTCCTTTAGTGAAGGTGGTGGATTATATGCAATAGTCATTTGGGTTGTCAAATCCTGTATCATTGCATAAATAAATATCCACATATGGTAAGATTTACTCCTCCTTTAAATATTCTGGCCATGTTTTTATAACTTTCTTACTGATCTCTCATTACTTTTAATAAAAATTATGGGGTGTATGTAATTTCCTGTGTATTACTTCCAAAGTAATTACAGTTTTTGGAAAACTCCTTTATAGAAAATATTTATAAAAAAAATCCTTCCAAAAAATTAACTTTCTATTTTTCCATATTCCTCTGAAGTCCTTGTGCTTTTGCATATATAAATATGTGTTCACAGAGTAGAATGTAATATATTTATTTTTAAATTTAACATTATATCTTAAATTTAGGCCATGTTAACTACTAGCCAACTCAATAAGACAACAAAAGAAAAACATTGTCATTTTGAAAATGACATGAGTGTCTAACTAGGGAAATTAAAGAGAATCATCAAAATATTAACTCTAATAAGACTTCAGTAAGATTACTAGATATGAAGTAAATAAACAAAAAAACCCAATAGTTTTGTAGTACACCAGTAACGGTATATTAGAAAATATGATCACATGAATGATCTTAGTCACAAAATAAAATAATTTACTTTATAATAACCTAGCAGAAGATATGTAATGGCCTTATGAATTAAAAGTTATTAAAGCAGATCTAAATAAATAGGAGCTGTATATGTTACTGAGTGGGAAGTCTCAATATTAAAAATAATTTAAAGTTCCCTAAACTAATTTATAAATTTGTGCAATTCAAAAACGAAACAGCAGAACCAAGAGTGTTTGGCATGAAACTTGACAGAGTGATTCTAAAAT
Organism: Homo sapiens; assembly: GCF_000001405.40. Classification (NCBI taxonomy): domain Eukaryota; kingdom Metazoa; phylum Chordata; class Mammalia; order Primates; family Hominidae; genus Homo; species Homo sapiens. The sequence goes on from NC_000014.9 coordinate 71,566,439, forward strand.
TAGCCGAGGAAGTAGAATTAATGGGGTTAGCAGGATGTATTATAATGCTGTGGCATTTGAATTGGTGTGGCATTAGCACACGGAGAGAGAAATGCACCATCAAAACAGAAGAGAGACCACAAAAAGAGACCTCCACATGCACGGGAACTTGTTTTTGACATTGTATACAAGTCAGTAATTCAAAAGTATTGATGGCTATTTAAGAAGTAGTGGTGGGACAGTATGATAAAAATATATTCCTGTAAATTCTAGATGAATTAAAGCCATTTAATCCTATTTTAAAGGAACATTTCTAAACTTTTAGAAGAAAATATGGGAAGACATCTGTATGATATTGGTGATTGGGAGGCCTTTAGAGCAAAACACCCAATTACAAATCTTACCATGTTAAAATTTTCAAATACAGATATATAAAAAATACACTTTAAACAAAAGCCAACACAAGGTACAGACTCTGCGAATAAAGTCAGACGTATATGTCTAATGAAGGGTTAATATCCATAGTATATAAAGGAATTCTACCTTATCAGTAACAGTGAAGAAAAAGACCTATTAGAAAAATGGACAGAACATAAGTGGGTAAGATCAGTAAACAAATTAAAATTCTCTAATTATCAGGGAAAGCCTAATGAAAGCAACAAGATAACACTTTATATTCTTATATTAGTCATAATTTAAAAGCAAAGCTGTGGCAGCAAGCAGGGCCCCCCACACATTACTATGAGTTGTAAAATTGTTACAACTTTGGAGTGAAGTTTGACTTTCTCTAAGGATGTTGAAAGATGCTCCAACTTAAACTTTCAGCAGTTCCCATTCTAGAGCTCTCTAGAGAGACTTTTGCATGTTTCTAAAGAAGATGTGAAAGGAAGGTTCCTCCTATCATTGTTTTTAATAGCAAAAAATTGGAAATCTAGACATCAGTCAACAAATTCTGGTGTATGCAAAAAATGGAAAAACAGAAGCCGTTTATAAAGGATCTATAACTTTTTGTAGCAACGTGGAGAAATCTTGATAGTAATTTTTTTTTTTAAAGTGAGGGAAAGTTTATGTAGAAAGTAAAGGAATAAAAGAATGGCTACTCCATAGGCAGAGCAGCAGCATGGGCTGCTCAATGGAGCAAACTTATAGTTATTTCTTGATTATATACTAAACAAGGGTCAGATTATTCATGAGTTTTCTGGGAATGAGGTGGACAATTTCCAGAACTGAGGGTACCTCCCCTTTTTAGACCATATAGGGCAACTTCCAGATGTTGCCATGGCATTTGTAAACTGCAGTAGTGCTGGAGGAATAAAAGAATGGCTACTCCATAGGCAGAGCAGCAGCATGGGCTGCTCAATGGAGCAAACTTATAGTTATTTCTTGATTATATACTAAACAAGGGTCAGATTATTCATGAGTTTTCTGGGAATGAGGTGGACAATTTCCAGAACTGAGGGTTCCTCCCCTTTTTAGACCATATAGGACAACTTCCAGATGTTGCCATGGCATTTGTAAACTGCAGTAGTGCTGGTGGGAATGTCTTTTAGCATGCTAATGTATTATAATTAGCGTATAACGAGCAGTGAAGACAACCAGAGGTCACTTTGATTGCCATCTTGGTTTTGGTGGGGTTTGGCTGGCTTCTTTATCACAACCTGTTTTATCAGCAAGGTCTTAAAGACTTGTATCTTGTGCTGACCTCCCATCTCATCTTGTGACTTAGAATGCCTAACCTCCTGGAAATGCAGCCCATAGGTGTCAGTCTCATTTTACCCAGCCTCTATACAAGATGGAGTCGCTCAGGTTTGAACACCTCTGACATATTTCTCTCCTCCCTTTTACAAGGGAACCCTTAATCCTAAGGGTTGTAGAGGGACAAAAATCCATCTTTTGTAACTTCTTCAGGCCGAATAGGTGTGATGATATTCTTGCCAAACTGTTAGGGTGTCTTGTATCCAGGGAATAGAGGAGCTCAGTCAGAAAGCATCAGTATGGTGAGGGCCATTCACAAGCCTGAGTTCTGACAAAAGGTGGTATCCAGAGTTGACCAATTGGTGTTGCACTGTTTCCTCTGGGTCAGAGGTCTCCTTAGCATAGTTCCTCCTTGGTTCGCTAGGAAGATGTTACTGGAAAGAGGTCCCAATCCAGACCCCAAGAGAGGGTCCTTGGATCTTGTGCAAGAAAGAATTCGAGGTGAATCCGTAAAGTGAGAGCAAGTTTATTAAGCAAGTAAAGGAATGAAAGAGGAATGGCTGCTCCATAGACAGAGAAGCCAAATCCTGATAATAATTTTGTGTGAAAAAAGAAAGTTGCAAAAGGATACATTCCAAATGATACCATCTATATAAATTTCATAAACACACAGTACTATTATGGGTCCATTTCCGTTTTGTAAAAGTTTAACAAAATGTGTGTCGGAAGAATGCATACTGTCCTTAGGAAGACAGTTCCTCTGGAGAGGCCAGGAGAAGCATGGGATGGGAAGTTGATATTTTAGCTATATTCATAATGTTTCTTTCCTTTTTGATGTGCAGCAAACTTGACAGATTAATAGTTATTAAATCTGGATGGCTGGTATGTTTTTGCATATGTCAAATATTTTATAATCAATAGTTTTCAGTTTTATCGTGTAGCAGTTTCCAGTTAAATACGTTGCATTGAACATGTGTAGTTATTTACTTTCCCTCATCAAGCCCTATGCCAGTGTTACTCAAGGAATATAAAAAAAATGTATGAAGACAGGTAAGGGGGAAAGACATAGGAGCAGATTTGAATGATCAACACCATTTTTGTCACCAGAGAGAGGGGCATGAATTTTAATTTAACTAATTTAGTGACGTGAAAAGAGTGTCTTGAATGGCTTTACTGAGGGATTCCAAAAAATGTTGACTCTCTGCAACCCCAGGATTGGAGGGTCCCAAGTAGCTGGGAGGATTGCACTAAGGGGTGGAATTAGTTTTAAGTAGATACTTGGGGTCCTTTCCCTAACCATAGTGTAATTATAGAGGCTCTGGAAATAGGAATTATTTGAAACCTTTGTTGCTGAGATTTGTTCCCAGGATGCTGGCAGTCAGACGGGAAGTGGAACCATTCTTCTTCAGAGACACTGAAATGTATCCTAGAAATGAACTACAAATATGGCATTTGTGGGTCCCCCAGTATAGAAGGGGAAACCCTCTGTCTGATTTAAGAAGGAATGGAATTTATGGTAATAATATTTAGTAGCTTGTAGAATCACTGGAAAGGCTGTAGAACTGGGTTCGAAAAATAGGAAAAACAAGGGAGGCCAGGTAGCCAAGACAACACTCGTTCCCACAAGTAGGCTGGTGTGGTGTTGCCCATGAACACTGGATGTCTGGCTTGACATTGCCACTGTCAGTACTTGCCTGAGGTTGTCAGTGTGCAGCATTGGCACTGCTTCTGCCACCACCTTCCATGTAAATGGATTCGCCTCTTTCCTGCTTTCTTTAGACACTACTGTTGATTCAGAGTCCAGGACATGCATGTCTCATTGGCTGAGGGGCTGACTGTGTGTCTGCACCCTGTCTGTAAGAACGGCTATGTTAAGTAACATTGTGGCATTTTTAGCTTCTACTATGGAAGGCAGATTTTGTATAACGAAAGGAGAGGTGATTCCCTGGATGTAGATACAAAGTTTAGAGGATAAGCAGATGTTAGGAAGTCATAGTGTTTTCCCCTCTATCCAGTTTCCCCAGGTAAACCAACTAGATCTCTACTTAGTCCCTTTCATGAAGTCTACTTAGTAGTCAACAAGCCGTGCCTCACACAGAGCTTCAGTCTACTATTTTTTTTCTTTTTTCTTTTTTAAAATCCATTTATCTTTATTTATTTATTTATTTATTTATTTTTGAGATGAGGTCTCACTCTGTCACACAAGTTGGAGTGTAGTGGCATGATCTCGGTTCACTGCAACCTCCACCTCACAGCCTAAAGCAGTCCTCACACCTCAGCCTCTCAGGTAGCTGCGACCACAGGTGAACGCCACTACACCTGGCTAAAGTTTTGTAGTGATAGAGTTCTGCCATGTTGCCTAGGCTGGTCTTGAACTCCTGAGCTCAAGAGATTCAGCCACCTTGGCCTCTCAAAGAGCTGGGATTACAGGTGTGAGCCACTGTGCTTGGCCCAGTCTGCTATTTTAATGCCTCAATTTTAAATACAAAAGGATAGCCAGTTATAGCAGACATATTAGCAAAACTTAGCATGTAAAAGACAGTGATGAAAACAAAACAGAAGAAAAGTAAATTTGGGGAATATAAGATACTGAAGATGAAATGGAAACATAAAAAATTAGTTTATTAGAAGGACGAGAGAAAATACTGCATTCATGAAACAAGAATAGAATGATTTTTTATTTTATTTTTTTGAGATGGAGTCTCGCTCTATCACCCAGGCTGGGGTGCAGTGGCACCATCTCGGCTCACTGTAACCTCTGCCTCCTGGGTTCAAGCAATTCTCCCTGTCTCAGCCACCTGTAATCCCAAGTAGCTGGGATTACAGGTGCGCACCACCACACCCAGCCAATTTTTGTATTTTAGTAGAGGCGGGGTTTCACCCTGTTGGCCAGGCTGGTCTCGAACTCCTGACCTCAGGTGACCCAGCTGTCTTGGCCTTCCAAAGTGCTGGGATTATAGGCATGGGGCACTGCACCTGGCCAGAATGATTTTTTTAAACGGAAGAAACAGAGAACACAAAATTTCTTCAAAATTGAGCCCAAGAATCAATGTGAAAGATTAAATAATCTGGTTGGAAAACGATGTTTTAAAAAGTCTCTCAAATACCTAAGAGAAAAAGATAAAGAAATGGAGGGTGCAGGAGAAAAAAATAAGAAAGTGTTCAGGTGGCCCAGTGTCCAATGAATAGAACATTTACAGAATGAAAGAACAAAGAATGGGAAGGAAAAGGAATTAATCAAAGAGTAATAAAATAAAATTTTACTCAACTGAAAGTTGTGAAGGTCCACTGAGTGTCCAGTACAAGGACCATAAAAAGAACAACACAAAGACTACTCCAGTATTAAACAGATGATCCTAAAAAAAATCCAGAAAAGAGCATATAACATAAAAAAAACTGGAATCAGACTATTTTGGGCTGCTCAGTTCCAACAGTAAAAGCTAGAAGTTAATGAAATAATACCTTTGTCTTAGTCCATTTTCTGTTGCTTACAACAGAATACCTGAAACTGGATGGTTTATTTATTTATTTATTTATTTATTTATTTGAGATGGAGTCTTGCTCTGTCACCCAGGCTGGAGTGCAGTGGCACAATCTCGGCTCACTACAAGCTCCGCCTCCCGGGTTCACACCATTCTCCTGCCTCAGCCTCCGGAGTAGCTGGGACTACAGGCGCCTGCCACCATGCCTGGCTCATTTTTTTTTTTTTTTTTGTATTTTTAGTAGAGATGGGGTTTCACCGTGTTAGCCAGGATGGTCTTGATCTCCTGACCTCATGATCCGCTCGCTTCAGCCTCCCAAAGTGCTGGGATTACAGGCGTGAGCCACCGTGCCTGGCCTGGATAGTTTATTTTTAAAAAGAATTTATTTCACACAGATGGAGGCTGAGATGTCCAAGGTCCAGCTGCTGCTGGTGGGGACTCTGCAGCATCCCGAGAAGGCGATGGAGGGCATCACATGCTGAGGGGCTGAGCCTCCTAACTTGCTAGCTCAGGTCTCTCTTCCTCTTCTTATAAAGCTACCAGTTCTACTCCCATGATAGCCCATTAATCCATTAACCCATTAATCTGTGACTGGATTAAGCATTCACAAGGACAGCTCTCATAATTCACTCACCTCTTAAAGGCCTCTCCTCTCAATACTGCCACACTGGGGATTAAGTTTCAACATGAGTGTTGGAGGGTACAAATATTCGGACCATAGCAACCTTGAAAATTCTAATGGCAAATGTTTTACTACCTGTCATTTTATGCCCAGCCAACCATCAGTCAGTTTAAAGCTAGGCATGCTAAGACTCAAAGCTTTTACCACCCATGCACCCCTTCTTAGGCAGTTACTAAATGAAGAAGGTAGTGGTCCATCCAGGTGAGGGAGTGAATTAAGAAAAGAAGAAATGAAATCTGGGAGACGTGGGATCCATCCAGGAGAGAAAGAAAGGAACTGTCAGGATGGTGATTGGTGGGATGTTCCCCAGAATACCTCTTCAGGAGACCTAGAGATCAGCAGCTAGATTGGGGCATGAGAAGAGCCCTAGGAGAGAGTTCTTCAGGGAAGAGAAATGGAATTGATAGGAATCTGTTGTTTTTGACTGTGTGGAAAGAATAACAAGATTTTTTTGCTTCTTATGTTGTATGTAGGAAAAATTAAGCGTAGGTATATAGAAATAAAGCAAATGAAAATAAATGAAACTGTTACTAAGTTCGGGAAAAGTAAAGTAAGCAACTGAGCAAATATAGCCGTAGTAACGTAAATCCTAATATATATAGCTATGTGATATAACTAATATACACACATGTGAACATAAATAGGTACATAGAATGGGGTAAGGAAATGGGAGAGACACTTAATGGAAGCATGCTGATTTCTCATCTTCCACAACAGGACTTCAACATTTACTACGTAAGATTGACAAATTAAAAAGTAGCAATATGAGCGTGTTATTTAGGAATAAGGAAATAGTGAGGGAAACAGTGCTATGTATTGAAAGTGGCTGTGGCTGTTCTTGGGACTGAAGAAGATGGAGTCAAGCAGTATCGGTTTCCCCCACTTTATATGCCTGTGGTACTATTTGCCTTTAACTACTATGTATATTACTTTGATAAAAACATAAACGAATTAAAAATAAAATAGCATTGCAGTAAGTATCTTTGGACAATTATTACAGATTGTAAAATCACGTCTCAGTGTTTGTTTTACCACCTATTTTCCTATTCAAATGTGGTTGACATTTATGATTAAGCCTCTGCTAAGGACTAAGTATCCTAAAATCAAATAAGATGCAGTTCCTGGCCTGAAGCACTTACATTTCAGTGGGTGGCGCATCAGAAAACTGAGCATTCACAGTGTGTCCTGTTTGATTGTCTTTTGGGAACCAAGGATGTGGAGAAAGTTTGGGACCTCAAGAGAAAGAGTGGATGTCTACAGCTGCACAAGGAAGGGCAAACCAGCAGAGCTCCTGGGACCTGCTGAAGGAGGAAAGATGCCCGAGAGCTGGGCAGAGGAAAATCCCTCCTGCTTTCAACAACTATGCATTTCCAAATGTCGAAAGAGAGATTGCAGAGCTCAACAACATGAATATTTTCTGGCTTACCTGCCAATGGTTTTTTTCTCCCCCTAAAATGAAACAATATCCATTATCTCTAGCGACATGTCTATTTTAACTTTGTCACTGTTAACAGTGGTTACTGGTATTCCAGTACTTTTTCCTAATGTGTATAGTGTTGTTTTGATTTGTATGCCTTTGATGCTTATTATACTCAGAACAGTAGATGGGCCTTTTCTTGTGCTTGTGTTCTGTCAAAGAATTTTTCTTAGTTCAACATATTCTTTCTTTAAAACTTGTTTTAACTGCAGTGATGCCAGAAAGTTTCAAAAAGACAGTTCCTCACTTTTTCTTGGCAGCAGTTCTGGTGTTAGAAGGTAATAACACATAGTGAAATCATGATTTATTTAAAGTAGAAATTTTGATTTCTACAACAAAAATCTTGATTTTTAACCACCATAAATTTCCTGTAGTAATCCCAAGGGATGCTGTAAAAAGAATAAGGTGGGGTAGGGGTGGGAGTGGAAGGGGTGGACAACTTCCTGAAAGAGAACATACCCCAGTGCAATCTTGAAGGAGGAGTAAGAGTTAGAGGAGTAAAGGGTGGATAAGAATAAAACAGGAGGAGGAAGGAAGAGAATTGAATGGAGTTGTGTTCCAGCAAAAGTTACCACTTGGCTTCACCTGAAGTCTCACGAGAACCCGGTGCATTCAAGAAATTTTAACTGGTTTCCTTTCCCTTTGACTGGAGCTCAGGGTTCAGGGAGCATGGTGGGAAGAGTGTGGAGAGATTGGGCTGTTAATTAGGGAGATTTATCTTGCACTTAGGAAATTCTGACATTGCAAAAACAGAGAGGCTATCTCCTTGAGGATTTAAGCGAAGGAGGCTAAGACTCGTGCTAATATGCACCTTATAAACAGTCTTGAATAGGCAAAGTGATCAGTTTTTAAAATAAGCATTATTGCAGACACACAAGACTATGTTTTAAGATCAAACTTACATTCTAGTTAGAGGATTTATTTTACTTTGTCACAAAAATGAAAAGGTTGGCAAAAAAAAAAAAAGACTTCCTGCCACAAGGTTTTATCTTTGAACACTTTATTGGTTTGCGTTTTGATTAATTTTTTTTCTAGTTAATAAGAGTTTAAATGATCAAGTTAATACATTTGTGAGGAAAATCTCACTTAGAAATCAGAGATTTTTAAGTTTAGGGGATTAGATTAAAAATAATTTTATTTGAAAGTTAGGCATAAAATGTATGTATATTTGCATATGTGCATAGTTTTTAAAAAAAACTGGAAGGATGTGGTATGCATTAAAGAAAGATACTTTGTTTGCTCCTGCTTTCATTTCTGTTGACAAGTTGCCAGAATTATTTGTATAGGGCCTCTATTTTCGGAACCATGATATAAATAAAGGATTCAAAATGTTTCCAATATGAAGCATTTCATCCAGCATTTTTACATCAGCTTTGAATGGGAGGAGGTCCTTTGCTGCTTGTGAGCATAAGTGGATTCTTTGGCTCTTAATCATCCACCCCTTTGCCTTTCTTTTTCTGGCTCTGTAAATACTTAAGTTGCTGCGGAACTGACTGTCCCTTGCACTGGATCCTTTCTCTCCTCTGCCCTTATCATTCAGTGTCTTACTGTCTGTGCCCCCAGCCCACACACAGTGCCTGGAAGAATATGTATACTATGATGAGTGACTATCATTGGGCTTGGGATTGGGACATGTAGAAGAAGACGTATACTTTTCACTTTTTCTGTACTATTTCAATTATTAAAATTTTCAGTAAGCATATAACCGGGTTCAAAAATGACTGAAAAGGGGCAAAGGAGAGACTTGTGTGGGGAGAAAAATTATTTGAGGGTAAAAGATAAAAATTATTTTGACCATCATTAATTTGATGGTAATTGTTTTAAATTTCTGGTTTTAGTTGTCTCTCCCTTTAATGCTGTATTAACCACACTGCCTTCCATTGTCCTGTGAGAATATGTTTATTTGCTGGGATTTTAAATAGTCGATTCTATTGTGGATTAGTTTATCTTTTAGTTACTTCATTGTGACAGTGTTTTATCCAGTTCTGTGTCACTTCTTGTTAATCTTTTAATAGATTTGCTCCTTTTTATGCCTGTTTTTCATGCTCCTTTGATGAGTGGATTGGGGTGAGAAGGTCAAACCCACTATTTTTTATTCATTACTGTTGTGAAGGCTCTTCAAGAGAGAAAGATGAAGCTGAAACCTTTATTAAATTTTGCTAATGTGGACTTGTTTTTGGCATTTCTCCGTCAACACAGATATGTGTGAAATAACCATGATTACGTTTTAGATTACAATAGAAGTTCTGATAATTTATCAGTTAATTTCCATTCTATTTTAGCTGAAAGCACGTAACTTTTATTTCTAGTGATTACATTTCAAGGGTACTAAGCTTAGGTGCTTTCAGGATAAGGATTGGACAGATCTTTTCCTCAAGAGCCTGAAAGTCTCACTGGGGAGAGAAGGCTGAACCACAGGTAGACTGAATCTTGAAATTTCAGTAAGTAGCAGAAAGGGAAGCATTTTTAGAAAGGAGGGTGCCCTGGTACAAGGAACATGGCTTAGGGATCAGACTCTCGAGCAGTGACCCAGTCTCGTCTAAGCTGCTGGGTCTTCATGTACAAACTGCAGTAGATAATAGCTCTTTAAAGATTGCTTTAGCGAGTTAGTGAGATAATGAGCAGTGCCTGATGCATACATAACTGGTTACAATGGATGGAAACAGATTATTGAACAAGCATGCTCTGAAAGGACAGCATGGTGCAACAGGCAGGGTAAGAGTAGGGGAATGAGGAAATCTGGATGTAAACCTGGACTTGACACTTGCTATTTAATCCTAGGTGGACTTACAGTTTCTGGCTACTACTGGTGGAAAATGATGGGCTCAGACAAGGTATTCTTTATAATTTACAGTTTTAAATTGTCAATATTGAATTCTTCATGCAGGCTGAGTCACTTGGTAGAGCTTTATGAAGAGGGCACAGTGGTTTGTTTAGGGCAAGCCTGTTTCCTTCTGTTAATATAAGAAGGAAACAGTTTGTGGGCAGGTGCCAGTTACTCTTGAATTCCAGGCCTAAAATCCAGGCCTAAATAAGAAAATAATGGCAGGGGCCAGGTGCAGTAGCTCATGCCTGTAATCCCAGACTTTGGGAAGCCGAGGCAGCTGGATCACGAGGTCAGGAGTTTGAGACCAGCCTGGCCAACATGGTGAAACCCCGTCTCTATTAAAAATATAAAAATTAGCCAGGTGTGGTGGCGGGCACCTGCAGTCCCAGCCACTCGGGTGGCTGAGGCAGGAGAATCGCTTGAACCTGGGAGGCAGAGGTTGCAGTGAGCTGAGATCATGCTATTGCACTCCAGCCTGGGTGACAGAGCAAAAAAAAAAAAAAAAGAAGAAAAAGAAAATAATGGCATGGCAGTTGAGGAGCCACTGAAGGTTCTCAAAGTGACATGACTACCATAGCATTTTTAAAAAGTTAAAGTTAATTATCAATAAATACTTTTTCTCTCACTGTATCCATATCCACAGGATATAGAAATTCATGCCTGCGCTGGACTGCAGAAGTGGTACACAGGCTATAAGGGAGCCTTTTTTCTTTTATATTTTCAAAGTAGTTTTTCTACCATAAATTTTGTAACCACTAGCCCAGTATTGAGAGAGAGCCTGCTATATAGTGAGCACTTATTTTTTTTTTTTTTTGGAGACAAATCTCACTCCGTTGCCCAGGCTGGAGTTCAGTGGTGCAATCTCAGCTTACTGCAACCTCCGCCTCCCATGTTCAAATGATTCTCCTGCCTCAACCTCCCAAGTAGCTGGGATTACAGGCACATAGCACCACACCCAGCTAATTTTTGTATTCTTTTAGTAGAGGTGGGGTTTCACCATGTTGGCCAGGCTGGTCTTGAACTCCTGATCTCAGGTGATCCGCCTGCCTTGGCCTCCCAAAGTGCTGGGATTACAGGTGTGAGCCATTGCGCCCAGCTGCACTTTGTGTTATACACAATTTGCTTAACTTTATGGCTTGTTGGGCATGCCTTTTTTTTTTTTTTTTTTTTTGAAACGGTCTTGCTCTGTCACCCAAGCTGGAGTGCAGTGGTCCGATGGCAGCTAATTCCAGCCCCAAACCTCTGAGCTCAAGCAGCCCTGCCACCTCAGCCTCCTGAATAGCTGGGACCACAGGCACACACCACCACGCCTGGCTAATTTTTTTTATTTTTTATTTTTTCTTTCTCCGATACAGAGTCTTGCTCTGGCACCCAGGCTGGAGTGCAGTGGTGCGATCTCGCCTCACTGCAGCCTCTGCTGCCCGGATTCATCCAGTTCTCCTACCTCAGCCTCCCAAGTACCTCGGATTACAGGCACACGCTATCATGCCTGGCTAATTTTTGTAGTTTTAGTAGAGACGGGGTTTCACCATGTGGGCCAGGCTGATCTTGAACTCCTGACCTCATGATCTGCCCACCTTGGCCTCCCAAAGTGCTGGGATTACAGGCGTGAGCCACTGCTCCCGGACTTTTTATTTTTTATTTTTTAGTAGAGACAAGGTCTTGCTTTGTTTGAGGTCTTGCTTTGTTTGAGTCCATGCTGGTCTCAGACTCCTGAGCTCAAGTGATCCTCCCTCCTCAGCCTCCCAAAGTGCTGGGATTACAGTTGTGAGCCGCTGCACCTGGCCTGACCACTCCTTTACCTCTCTATGCTCTTTCTTCATTCGTAAAATGGAGATACAGTTAACCCTTGAATAATGCAGCGATTGTGGCACCAAAACTCCCACCCTGAATGCAGTTGAATATTTGAGTATAACTTTTGATTCCTCCAGAACTTGACTAATAGCCTACTGTTTACCAGGAGCCTTACTGATAACATGAACAGTGAATGAACACATAGTTTGTATGTTACATGTATTATATAGTGTGTTCTTACAGTAAGTAAACTAATGAAGAGAAAATGTTATTAAGAAAATCATCAGGAAGATACATTTGCAGTACTTTACTGTATTTGTCAGTACTGTAAATTTACTTCATCTGTCTGACGTGGCAGGCAACTGCAGCTGCAGACTTCAGTCCATGGTACAGATCAAACAATCCAACTCTTTCTTATAAAATCCTGACTTTGCTTCTTGGGAGCACTTTTACCATCACTAGTGGCACTTCATATGGGTCCCATGGTGTTATTTGGGGTTAACGTATTTTACTAAGCGTGAAAAATACACCAGAACCACGAGAGGTCACTTTTTTACTCTGACATGAAGTTTGTCAGAGAGAGGAACTGCTCACCTGGAGAGGATTAGTTTTTAATCAGAGAATTGTAATACTTGAGCTCACCGCAATAGCAGCAGGATATGGCTATGAAATTATTTTAGGAATACAGTATGTATTACAATTAATTGTATGCAGTTATGATTGAATATTACGTCTTTACATTTGTTTACATTTCTCTCAGCTGCAGACCGCACCGTTTATGATCTTTCTGTGCATAAGTTGTGATACATTTTAGCTCCTTAAGTAGATTTATGTATTTTCTATGGTAGTAAATGATAAAATAGACTAATATCTTACATGTATTTTCTGCATTCATGACATTCCTTACTTTTTACTGATTTTTTTTTCTATATTTCTAGGCTATGTAGTTTTTTCAAATTGTCACAGTTCTCCAAAATATTTTTTAGTGTATTTATTGAAAAAAAATCTACAGATAAGTGGCCTTCCCTGTTCAAACCTGTGTTGTTCAAGGGTCAGCTGTACTCCTGGGGTGCTGGTGAGGACTGAAGGAGAGGAATGAGCATGTGTGAGGAAACGAAATGGGTGACAGAGTCCTGCTGTCTTAGATCCCTTGAGGGAGAGAGGTTATGCTCAGAGATAACGGTACAGTCAGACAGACAGAGGAACCATATGCAGTCTGTATTTAAGGACATGCTAAGGCAATGTGGAGTAATTTTAATGTTTTTCTTTTACGTTCTAGGTTCTTGGGTGGTATTTCAAAATCTGCTAAGGGAAATATGCTTACTGTTGATATCAATCATGATTAATAATAGTTTGGATATTATGTTCACCCATTGTTCTTATGCTCCTTTCTACTTTTTTCCTCAGCTAAATTTAAACGTGTTTTTTCAAGTGCAGTTTCTTAAATTCTTTTTGGAACATAAATATTCAAATAAGAAAACTGCACTATCCTTAATAAAGCCATTTGTGGTGTTCCTTCCTACTGAGCCCCTTCCCGTTTCCTACATACTTGTCTTCTTTTTCCAGTTAGATAATAGAGACTTGAGGATAGAGATGGCGCCCTGTGTCACTGACAGTGACTGTCTCAAATCGCCAATGTTAGCAGCCTGAAAATTTGTCTTAGAGATGCAGATTCTCTGCTGCGTTTTTTACAGAGTTCATTATATGTGGATCAAAGGCAATTTTCATGGCTTATCTAATGTAAATCTGACTTCATCGCTTTCTCTTCTGCCCTCAAAGAAGAAAATCAGTACTACCAGGTTCTTCTTCCCCAGTATGCGATTCCTTGAGCCACTGATACCACGTAGCACTTTAGTAAAGCTCTCCAGGGTGTTGGTGTGAGTCCACATAGAGACATTCTTCAGATTTAGCCTCAATCCTGCAGAAGGAGGACTGTGAAAAGGACAGAATATACGTAGGAAAGTAGATGCTTCCCAGGAAAGGGGAACTAATGATGGCAACCTGTGCTCTGCGTAGGTACCCTCATCTGATTTTCCTAGGTCACTACAGTCTTGGGAGGGGACAAGGTGAAGGCTGCTGGGCACAAGGGAACTTTTATGTCAATATTAAATATAAGGAAAGCATCTGTAAATGAGGAGATATAAGCAATTGTGTTAATCATCTATGTGAAATAATTATTCAAATCCTATAAATACTGCTAATCTTATAATCTTTAGTACTCTCTACTTTATACAGCCTTCTGTGATTTCATTTTAATTAGGGGATTTAGCACAAGAACATCTTACAGGAAGGACCTGACATCTGTTGGATTTTTACTTTTTTTGGTGATTTGAATGGCTGGAGGTTTAACAAAGTATAGTATCTTAGAATTAGTATTTAAACGTGTGGTCATCATACTGCATTCCCAGATCATATTTTATATTTTTAGCAACAGAAAGATGGCTTTTTTTCTCATAAGTTTTGTTTCTGATTATGAAGGTGACACATGTTCATTTCAGAAAATAAAAAATATAAATAAAAAAACAGAAATTACTCATAATCAAAAGACAAACATTGTCAGTCCTTTGGTGAACTAACTTTGCCCTTTTAATCTGTCTGCCTGCCTGCCTGTCTATCTGTCTATCTATAACATATCAAAATTTGTAATGTATTTTCAGTTTTTTATCCTGTATTCTTCTGAAATATGGGCCTGTTTGTCCCCAGTTATGTTCAATAGGATGCATGATATAAAATGTTTGATTTTTTTTTTTAAGTGAGTCCATGGTCAAATCAGTTAAGAAATTTCTTAGTTTAATAAAATTAGTGGTGGTAGTGGTGGTGTTTTCTGCTTTTTAATAAAAATAATGGGAACTCACTATGTTACCCAGGCTGGTCTCAAACTCCTGGGCTTAAGAAACCCTCCCACCTTAGCCTCCCAAAATGTTGGGATTACAGGCGTGAGCCACTGTGGCTGCAGATTTCTTGGAGGCTTTAATAGAGCAACATATATCACGATGTCCTAAGCAAGGTGATATATACAGTGTATTACTGCCTTA